>NC_000012.12:77157097-77308612 GCF_000001405.40 Homo sapiens | reverse complement strand
AAGCCTTACTGAATCTAGAGATTGATTAGGCTTCTTAATAAACCAAAAAATAAAAAAGGGAAAAAAATCAAGCAAAAAACAGGAGTTTTGACTTTAAGTGATGAGAATAATACTGATGCCAAGAGGAAGTGGGAGTTAATGCAGCTGGTTTAGCATCAAATATAATTAATCGAATTTGAAAAATATTGGTTTTGTGCTAACAGTAGGACATCTGAGTGGAAATATCTAACAAACAATTTGACTTTGTTTGGTAAGGAGATTAGTAGTTACAATACAGAGTTGGGAGTCTTTTGCATCTTAGAGCATGGGTTGTAGCCTTGTGGATGAGCTCATCAAGGGGAAAGAGTGGGAAGAAAAAGATAAGTCATCAAAGAAGTCAAGGCAAGTGTGGTCAAAGAGAGAACAGTGTGGTGTGTGACTTACAAATGGAGACAAATGCCAGTGTAACACAGAAATCTGAACAGAGAGAAACCATGGAAAACCGGAAGGGGGAAATTCAACTGGAAGTAAAGAGTATTAACTACTATGGAGAGATCAAAGGAGCCAAAGACTCTGGAAATAAACCCTTGGAATTTATACAAGGAAAAAAGGTACAAATATCGGAGTACCAGCTATATGCTCAGTGCTTTTCCTTATGTTAAATATTTTAAGAACGAAGAGTGTGGCAGTGACTTTGGAAAGAGAATTTTGGCAGGAAAGGAGTGAACAATAAATACAAAGTGGTGCCTTGGGGGAATAGTGAGGCCTAGCTAGAAATTTTTTTTGTTTTGTTCTCTTGTGTCAAGATAGAGCAAACTGCTTGTTTGAAGGCAGGAAGAAAGAAACCTCTTGAGAGAGAGATTAGAGGGAGTATGATAGAAGCTAAGTGATTGCAATGGCAAATGTTGAAAAGTTGAAGTTTTAGTATTAATTAGCAATCTTGAATCTTCATGAAAGAGTTAATTTTGTTTAATTATGCATGGAATGAGTCCATTTTTCTACATCACCTCTCCTTGTCTCTTTGCCCTTTACTTTTATGGCTTTGAATTCTTAGAAACAAAGTCTTTTTCATTATATTATATTCTTGTGAACAGTTAATTAGTTTTAGAAAGAAATATGTATTTTGACTAATCAGCTTAATTGTTCACCCAATCTTACATTTATGAATTATTTTTTTAACCCAACCAGGGAATTTCAAATCTTAAAAAAAAAAAACTGGATGTTGTTCACATAATATAGTAAAAACAGTTTTAAGTTTGATCTCATAGAAGTGATACTTCTATATCCTCAAATCATCTTTCCTCTTAACACATTGTCTGAAAATTCTATAAATGTGTCTGTGAAGTGGAATAACTACTAGAAAGCAATTTTCTCATTTCTTACATTACTGTCTTTCAAATACACCAAGTTATTATAATGCAATATTCAAAACTGGCAGTTTATTTCCTGTATTCAGAGTAAAATATTGTTTTATCTAAACCAAAAGACAAGTACCCTGTAGTCCTCTTCACTCCTCTAAGCACCAGCAGCCCAATTCTCCAGGACTGAGATCCAGTCTCAGCTGCATCAGCTGCTCTCTTGATATCTCTTGGCTAACCTCCCATGCCTAAATGTCCCTTGGGCAAGATAAAATTTCAGTGTGATAGGATATCTTCTTCTCTCATAATTAAATCCTACCTTAGACATGCAGATACAATAGCAACTTCATCTCTGCCCAACAGCAAGACACTTTTGGGTGATGATAACTAAGTAGAGTTACTTCCTCGGAAACAAAAAGCAGAGGCTGTCAAATGAATTACACGTGGCCATTTCCCTGTTGCACTCAGAAAGGAGGCAAGTGGGCTGCCAAGGAAAGAAGCAATAGTGCTTGATTTCTTTGCCACAAAAAATATAAATAAGAGGAAAACTCAGTCAACAACAAAATCTAGTCTTGCTTGAGCAATAGGAGTGGTACTAATAATAATTGAAAATAATAAAATTGAGCCAGTATCAAAAAATATATTTATTAAATTTAAATTTAAACTGGCTTTTCTGACTTGAAAAAGGTAAATATATAAGAAAAGTAATAATTATAAAAGTATTTCAGAAGAAATGTCCTATAGCTATCTCACAAGCTTATCGAAAGAATCTTATAGGCTATTGATGTATGTGAACTTTATTTGAAAATTCTAAAGTGCTATATTAATGTTATTCTTTGCATGAGAAAATTCAAGATATTACTATTACTATTAGCCACAGTGTATCACAGGCCAGTTGTGCAATCCACTCTTAATCAATGTTAAAATGTTTGAAGGTGTTCACAGTGGTATCTACAAGGTTTATTTGTAATGTTAATTATAGAAATCTGCTTGTTATTGCTACAGAATAACCAGATGTCAATTGTAGTATATTATTATTTGGAAATTGGTAAACCTTAAAATTTTCCAGGAATATAAATTTCAAAGGTAATTTTTTTCCTCTTGTCATTCCAAAATTATTCATCAAATATTATGCAAAATTCTAAAAAAAAAACTTTGTTACAATCTCCCTATTGTGCCTCCCTTGAAGTATTAATGTCAAATAATTATAAGGTTCTTTTGTACTCTAGTAACACAAATTATAGGCAAAGACTTCAAAATAGTCTAAAGAAGTACTTCTCAAATGTAATGTGCATACAAGTCACCTGGGGATCTTGTCAAAATGCAGATTCTGATTCAGTAGGTCTTGGGTGGGGCCTGAGATTCTGCATTTCTAATAGCTCTCAGGTGAGGTCAATGCTGCCAGTCCAGGGTCACACTTTGAGTAGTGAGAGGCTAAAAAGAATGATCAAGGTTGGCCTGTAATCCCAGCACTTTGGGAGGCTGAGGCAGGAGGATCACTTGAGCCCAGCAGTTTGAGACCAGCCTGGGCAATATAGTAAGACTCCATCTCTACAAACAATAATTTTAAAAATTAGCCAGGCATGGTGGTGCCCGCTTGTAGTCCCAGCTACTTGGGAGGCTGAGGTGGGAGGATCACTGGAGCCCAGAAGGTTGAGGCTATAGTCAGCTGTGAACACACCACTGCACTACAGCCTGGGTGAGAGTGAGCCCCTGTCTCCAAAATAAAAAGAAAAGGAAAGAATTATAAGGTTTGGTGTAGAGTTCTCCAGAGAACCATAGGTTGTATACTTATATATGCACGGCTCACATGATTATGGAAGCTGAGCAGTTTCAAGATCTGCAGTCAGCAAACTGGGAACCTTAGAGAGCTGATGGTCTAAAAGCTGGCAGGCTGGAGCCCCAAGCAGAGTATGTTTCAGTTCAAGGTCAAGGCAGGAAAAGACCAATGTTCCATCTCAAGCAGCCAGGGAGGAGGAGTTCCCTCCACCTTTTTGTTGGATCAGGCCTTCAACTGATTGGATGAGGGCCACACACATTAGGGGGAACAATCTGCTTTAGTCAGTTTACCAACTCAAATGCTAACCTAATTCAGTAACATCCTCACAAACACACCCAGAATAATGTTTGACCAAATATCTGGGTACCCTATGACCCAGTCAAGTTGACACATAAAACTAACCATCCTAAGTGCTATTGCTACTCTAACACATATGTTGTTTATTTCAGTCAAGTGGTAATCTAATTAAAATAATTTTAATCAAATTATTTAATCTTTGAAATCTAATTTCAAAGAATTTCTTTCAAATGCCTAATTTATTATGAACTGACCTATAGTAAGTTAAGGACATGAATAATGTTGGTTGATTAGAGTACCTGCCTTTGAAAATAATTAAAATAATCCTTCTTATTTAAAGAAAGTAAATATTTATCTCAAAAACAGTTTTAGAAGTTAACATAGTTCTAATGTAGGCATATATTGCATGTCTTTATGAAAGTTGTATTATGAACTGATATTAGAAATATAAAATTAAGTCATACAAGACATACATTTTATAGTAGAAGGATTATCATAAAATGTATATAAAAATTAATCTACTTCTCTACTGTAAAACTTAGGGCCTCTAATATCATAATTATTAGCATTTCTGTATGCTGATATGTAGAGGTATATATCCTTCCATGCATTACAAGAGGTAAATATATTCATTGAATTTAAATTGTCATATAATACTATTAAGATATATCATTTTGAGTATTGTTAAGTAAGAAATAATAATACCAAATATGACATGATGTTTTATTAGTCATTTATAATTTTTTAAATACTGACAGTGCTGCAAACTTATAGGTAGAGTTTCGTTGTGTATCAGCCACATGCATATATAAAAAGGCAAAGGTAATTGATTACAGTATTAACAAAATTTCACATTTAGAATCTGACTCTCTGAATAACTTTTCAAACTAAGATTCGCTATCATTTTTTATACAATATTTTTTGGTGTCATCAAGAGCACTGCTGACACAATATTTAAGAGTGTTTTACTATGGTCCCTATAATATCATCTCAAGCTACTTGTATCTATTATGGAAGTTTTGATATTGGCACTTTCTTGACTAGAAGATGTCAAAGAAGTTTCCAGAGATCAGGCAAGGACTCAAATGGTCTGTAAAGTGACTGAAGCATCCAGAAGTTTTCATTATTCCAAGAATAATAACTATGTTCACTGATATGTAGACAAGTACAGCTATGTCACACCTGCTGCTTATAGACACACTCACACGCACACACATACACACACACACCATTTTAGAATCAGTGGATACAATGTCTTCTCCATACTTGTTTCACCAAAAAAGAACCCCTCACTTTTTAAAGAACTGTCTCAATGGACTAGTATTGAATGAATCTTATTTTTGGTAAATTGTCTCTTTGATGCAGCAGTCCCCAACCTTTTTGGTACCAGGGACCAGTTTCATGGAAGACTATTTTCCCACGGACATGTGGGGCATGGTGGCAGAGGGGCTGTTTTGGGGTGAAACTGTTTCACTTCAGATCATCAGGCATTAGATTCTCATAAGCGGTATGCAAACTAGATCCCTCACATGCATAGTTCACAATAGGATTCATGCTCCTGTGAGGAGCTAATGCCACAACTCATCTGACAGGAGGCAGAGCTCAGGTGGTAATGTGAGTGATGGGGAGCGACTGGAAATACAGATGAAGCTTCACTCTCTCTCTCACTTGCTGCTCACCTGCTGTGCGGCCCAGTTCCTAACAGACCACAAACCAGTACCAGTCTGTGGCCTGAGGGTTGGGAACCCCTGCTTTAATGTATTCCTTCTTTGCCACTAATCAATAATCAATATATGCCATTACATTTTGGCATAAATTGATTTAAAAGATTTGTTTTTCTCTTAGTATACAACCCTTCTGAATTACACATCATGTTTATTTCTTCTCGCCTCTGCCCTTCCTACAGCATTTAGAACACCATTTTCTATACTTTAGGTGTTCAATAAAAATTCTTAGATGAAGGCCTGGGATTGAGCATCATAGGAATTTTCCCAGCCTGCTTCTGAAACAAGTTTAATTCTCACATTCTGTATTATAACTAAAATTTTCTTCCTAGAAATGCCTATCAAAGAATTTTTGCCTTTGAGTTTCAAATAAATATTCACTTTTCATGACATACTCCAGTGATCATTACTAAAACCCTATTTCAACGTGCTGGTGTTTGCAGACGCCTCGTAGTGGAACAAGCAGAACATCTGAGTTCTAATCATAGCCCTGCCATTTGCTGTCTAAGCACATTTGCTGCTCTGGGCTTCAGTTTGCCCCTAAGTCAAATGAAGACAGCACTTGTCAACTAGCTTCATGGGGTTGTTTTAATAACCATTAGGAAAAAAAATACCAAAATCACTGTAAAGGCTACATAGTGCTAGCCCTGCTTTTACCGTGCGTATTACTTTAAAATTTCAACTCTCCATTTGGCTTCGATTTTGTTATTTATCTGACATAAACTATAAGCTCCCCAGAGAAACTTTATGAGTACCTCCAGAGTATCCTTGCCACTGAAAAACATCATTAAACAATAATACTCATGAAATTTCTGAGAACTATTCTATGGGAGATAATAACCATAAAAGTATAAAAGTGGCTCCCCTGTGGCTCAGTGAACTTCGCTATTGTGGACTTCCTACGATATTAACTAAAAATCAAAGATTTGCTTTTGTTTGCATTAAAGACATAGGAATAGTAATAATGAAATCATGTTGTTACTATTAAAGGATTCTTAAAGTATAAAATTCCTTGACCGACTTTATCTTTTTGAAACTTTAAAAAGGCCTGGCAGGTATCAACGTGTTTTACAGATGAGAAAACTAAAGCTTCAAAAGGTTTACTTCCCAGGATAAATTGTCTTGCTCACAAATTCATGGCAGAGCTAAGGTTTTAATCACACAGTGCTATAGGCTTTCTCGTGCACAAGGATTTCTCAACCTCAGCACTATTGACTTTATAGACTGGATAATTCTTTGTTTTAGGGGAACTTCCCTATGCATTGTGGGATGTTTAGAGCATCCCTGGCTTTAGCCACCAGATGCTAGTAGCACATCCCCCTATATTGTGACAAGAAAAATGCCTCTAGATATTGCCAAATGTCTCTTGGGGGACAAAATTGCCCCCAGCTGAGAATCTGTCATAAATCACACCACTTTTTCTTTTCTTTTCTTTTCTTTTTTTTTTTTTTTTTGAGACAGGGTCTCATTCCTGTTGCCCAGGCTGGAGTGCAGTGGTGCAATCATGGCTCACTGCAGCTCAACTTCCTGGGCTCAAGTGATCCTCCCACCTCAGCCTCCTGAGTAGCTGGGACTACAGGTGCATGCCACCATGCCCAGCTAATTTTTGTATTTTTTATGAAGACAGGGTTTTGCCATGTTACCCAGACTGGTCGTGAACTCTTGGTCTCAAGCATTCCTCCCACCTCGGCCTCCCAAAGTGCTGGGATTACAGGCGTGAGCCACTGCGCCCGGCTCACCCCCGCCCCCTTATATACTATATATACTAGTACCTATATAACTTTTCATAAATAACTTTCCTGTGCTTGATCATATGATTTAAGGTCAGATAGCAATGAGTACTTCGAATCAAAGTGTATTAGTTTTCTGTAGCTGCTGTAACAAATTACCACAAACTTGGTGGCTTAAAACAAGAGATGTTTTTTTCTTCACAGTTTTGGAGGACAGAGTGAAATCAAGGTGTCAGCAGGGCCACATTCCCTCCAAAAGCTCCAGAGGGGAATCCTTCCTTGCCTCTCCCAGCTTCTGGTGACTCCAGGGTTTCCTTGGCTTGTGGCTGGATAACTCGAATCTCTGCCTCCATTTTCACATGGACTTCTCTTCTGTGTCCCTGCCTCTTCTGTCTCTTATAAGGATACTTGTCATTGAGTGTAGGACCCACCAAAGAATCCAGCATGATCTCATCTTACAAAGAAAGTCTCATCACAGTTTCTAGGTGGTCCAGTTAGAGGTGTTTTTTGGGGAGCCACCATTCAACTCACTACATAGATCATACTGTTTTTCCTAAGAAGTCAAAACACTTTCTGGATAATCTATCATCACATTAAGTTCATAAATGTTCTAGAAAATAGGAGGATACAAGTCAGAATATGAGACACAGAGATTAAGGGCAAATTTGCTAAAGTCAGTGAGTTACAGATTTACTAAAATAACCTTTGAGTCTATGTTCAGGACCTTCCTCCACTGGGTCTGTTGCAGAATGGTGAAAAGAACCACCTGACTTGCCTCCTGCTGTATGAACCATAAAATTTACAGGGAATTCTGGTGGGAAATTGAAAAGCAAAAGAGAACATAGCTGGATTTTCAAATCCTTATGTTGATTTTTTTAAAACTCAGCTGTAGGCTTCTAATATCAACAAGATTTTCTGACACCCCGTGAAAGAAAACAAACATAGAACTCCATAAAGCCATATAATAAAGTTCCTTCTCAATGTGTAAGTGTCCTTTAAAATTCCTCCCTGTATGTGTTGCATGTTAATTTTTTAAAAATCTGTGGTTATAGAGCCATGAACAAAAATATAGAGCATTAGCTTTCATAGTGCACAATATTAATCACACTTTCATATACCAAGACTGATTCTGCAAAAACACCATGAGATAATGCTCACTTAACAGAGCTTGGTCACAGAGTAATGGTCTGCTGATTTCCCCTAAAATATTACATTTGATTTTTTGATACCTCTGCATTTTCATTCTAAGCGATGTTGACATTTTAACCAGAATATCCAGTAAGTTATGAATCACCAGCTGACACCAAATGACTCACTTATAGAATTACAACCATGATGTGTATAAAAAGCCTTTTTAAATATATCATAACTGAACAATCTCCTTCTTGATTTCTCTTGCAGTAGTCATACTCTGCCTTCCAAAGGCTCACATGAAGATGGCCAGTCACTTGCTTATTTTTCTTATATTCATTTACAACCGTAAGCTGTATTCTCCAAATTATATCCTTATTATATCTTTTGTCACATGTCCTAGATTTTATCTGAACATTTTTTATTTATTAAAAGGTAACATAGTCACATGGTTTGAAATTTGTTTAAACAGCATGTAGGGGCATAGGATGCAAACAGTAAGTTTCCTACCAAGCCCAAGTCTCTGTCCCAGTCCTGGGAAGCAATCTGTGTTAATAGCTTTAAGCGGATCTTTTCGGAAATATTTTATGTATACTGAAGTCTCCCTTTAAAGAAAGCCCTTTTCACCAAAGCACAAATCATTCTTACTTAATCATAAAGTTCTCACATTTTTGTATTAGACCACAGTCTCTGACAAGATTAACCCTAACCTATGCCAAATCTTCTGAGTAGATTTTACATTTTTTAGACCCAGTAGGCAACATCTCACTACATGGTAAAAGAAGCCTATTTTAAAAAATATATTGCTAATGAATAATATTCAGCAAATCTTGCCCTTAATGTCCTGTGTATCATAGTCAGCTCAATCAAACTTTGTAAATGCCTTTTTAGTTTTATTCTCAGAGCAAAATAATGTATCTTCTTAAAATCAGATTCCAAATGACAAATCTCTTCCTTCAAAGATAAAATATTCGCAGCATTCTCTATGATATATTTTGAGAGATCACTCAACTCTTACCATTACTTTGATTTTTAAGGGTAAGGTTGTTAATGATCTTACCTATTAAAGAAAAAAATCTAAAGATATTCGTAGGTCAGATTCAGATTTATACTAGATCATAATAAAGCTGCACATTACAACTTTAGGAACTAACACAGGGCCTGAAAGAAATTAGGCAAGATTCAAAGCAGTGAAGGTTTAGTTCTAATAGTATCATGATATGTAGTAGTATCACAAGTATTAATATTACGAATGGCACTAGAACTGTTCCTGGGCTACAGCTGCTTTGTGCTTTTTGCTATAGATTTATTATAAAAAGGAGCATGAGAAGGCCTAGCAAATGTTTTGTAATCTTGCCAAGGTGCCTGAATGCTATGGCTGCTGCACGCCCATGAGTGTCCAGCAAAGATGGACAAGAGGGTTGGGTGTGGTTAGAAAATGTGGCCTGATTCTGATTCCCTCCCTCCACCCACACACGCACATTGCACACACATGTTTTCAGTCAGATCCTTCAAGAAGCAAATACCAAAACAGAATGATACATGTAAGACATGCACCAGGGATCTACCTGCAAGAGAAAAGGGGCAGAAGCTGGGAGGACAGTCAGATCTTGATGCAGGTCTGACCACAAGTGAAGGAGAGAGAGAGAAAGATTGGATGGATGTATCTTAGTGTCTAGTACATTCTAAGAACGTTTGGTGAGGCTGTGGGGATAGAGATAGTGGAAGGCGAGAAGTCCTCAAGCCAAAGTTGCCTCTCAAAGGAAGCCCTCATCTCTAATTGGACAGGTCTGCCTCAGTAACCCAGCTGCGCCCAGTCATTGGCAGGCGCATGCTGTGGGAAATGTGGCCTCAGCACAAACTGGGTGATGAATTTCAGAGTCCAGCAATTGGAGTCCTTAGTCAATGATGCTCCCTGCAATTGGCAATATGAGAAGCTCATTCTCCTGGCGAACACACACACTTCTCAGATGAGACCCACTACTGCAAATATGTCTTAGGCTGATCTCTAGATCCATATATGTATATATTGAAAATATTTGTTTTTAGAGTTTCAGCATAATTCTCCAATTCTCAGGTTGCTGTAAACAGATTTCTCTTTGTCAAGACAGCAATTGATTAAGCTAATTCACGCAAAAGACGAGAATGATTTCTATGCTTCCTGCTTATTCTTCCAGAAGCTTTAACTTGCCAAGCTGAATGGGTCTTTCATTGGTGGACGTATTTTTATTGAAGTAAACTTGAAATACAAGAAAATGCACAAATCTTAAGTATAAAATTTGATGATATGATATCCATTCATACAACCACCCCAAAAAGCTCCCTCATGCCTGCTTCCAGTCCATTCTAAACTTCCCAGAAACAACCACTATTCTGATTTCTATCAGCAGAAATCAGTTTTTCCTGTTGTGGAAGTTCATATAGATGGCATCATACAGTACTTTTTTGTGTCTATTTTTCCCACTTAATACCGTATGTCTGAGATTCATCTATGTTGTTTCAAATGCAGTCAGTATTTTACTTTTTACTGTCTAATAGTATACCATTGTATGGATATACCATTTGTTTATCCATTCTATCCTGTTGATAGGCAGGTGAATTTGGGTTGTTTCCAGTTTAAGGATATTGTGAATAAAGCTCCTCTGAACATTCATGTGAAGTTTTTGTGTGAACATACTTTTATTTGCGGGGGGATCAATCTGGATCATAAGGGAGTGTGTATTTATTTCATAGGAGAAGAATTTCCCAATGTTTGTGTAATTTTATACTCCATAGCTGGTGGAAATTTAAGAAGTATCAGATGATATTTTAGGCCTTCTCTCAAATCGACCCCAGCTAAATAAAAGAGAGTTACTGGCAGGGCTAAGAGAAATAATTCACGTATCTATCTCTTCTAGCCAAAGCATGCAGATGCTCCAATACCCCATTTTATGATAGCAAACAGATTTCAGGAAATACTAAATATTGCCCAAAGTCAAACAGCTGATAAGTGCAACCAGAATTCAAACCCAGCTCCATTCCCTCTACAGCAAAACCAATGGTCTTCTTCCTAAAGAAACTTCCAAAGCACTGAAGTAACCCCAGCTCTAACCATTGGCAAGAGACAAGAGGCAAAAAACGGGAGAGATTCACAACACAGTGGCAATCTCTTCTCTATTCACTGTGGAAGAGGAGGGTGAAAGACCACCAGCTTTTCCCTAGAGATCTTTCCCAAGTATATTTTTCAGCTCCACCCCTTGTTTCGGGGGGGAAAAAAAGACTTTGTTAAGCAGATGCTTCTTAGTTACCTATCTGGGATACCCAAAAGGAGCTTTATGTCAACCTCATTTTTTTTTTCCCACCTCCTCAGTTTGACCCTAGGAGATTGTTATTGTTACTATTACTGTTACTGCCAATTAAAAGACAAGGAAACAGAATCTCTCTGTTTCCCTTATTTGTCTAGGATCACCCAGATTAGTGTGTCTTTCTCATCCCTTAGTTTTTGGCTTCTGGAAAAGAGAGACTATTACCTTCTTGCTTTAATACCCTCACTGCCAAGCATCCTGCAGACTAAAACCCAGGCAGACAGTCGATGGTGAATGACTGAATGAATGAATGAATGGGTGGGTGGATCCAAGCCAAGTCTTTTGGCTTCAGGATCACAGGTCTTTTCATTAGGCAGTATATACTAAAACCTTATTTTCCTCATTTTTAAAACCAGAAGACTGGACAAGATAACCTCTAAGATTTTGTTCAATTCAGAAAGGCTAGGATTCCATCGGTCTATGCTCAATACAAACCTTTAAAGGAAAAGAACAGAAATTTTATCTGACAATACCTTATATTACCAAAGAGAGAGTTCTGAGTCCTTGAATGCAGGAGAGAACCTACTGTGACTAATGAGTAAAAGGTCCCTTGGGATAAAGTCTGTCAAGAAACTAAAAGCTAATCCAAAGGTGACTTTGAACACATTCCCCTTCTCAAATAGCACAGGCTTAAAAACCAGATTTTCACTCTTTGTGGGGTAATGGATAGAAGTTCTGAAAAATCATTTACATGAAAAATATAAGCACCTTATTTGCATATATGATAACAGCATTTGAGGAAAAACAGAATGTGGACATATAAATTAGTTTAGGGAATAAGAAGAAGAAAACAAACTATGCACCACACACATAAACAAATGTTCAAAAAATAAGTAAAAGAAGATCAATCACCTCTTGTTTATGCACACAATTCCAGATGGTCCCTGATAGTGTCAGGCTCTTCTCTTTGGTTCTTTGTTAATCTTATTGCTGTGGTGTTCCCAAGCATTGCCACCTGTTTGTATGGTTTTAGGCATTAGATTTGAAGACATTCATTTTGCCAGGTCATTGTCCCTGATATCAACCAAAGTCCTTTGCTAAGGCTGAAACTCTCAAAGAAATGAAGCCCTCTACTTTCTCTTCCTAAGTAGAAATCATGCATCATAAGATTCCAATCCCTGCTTACATTTTCATTCCATTTAGGCAACTGATAAATTAAAAGTGCATTTTCTTGGGTGTGAAATATCAACAATTCATGATTCAATCCCTTTTCTCTACTGCACATGAACAGATTTTAAAAATTTAATCTGTGGGTATAGATCACTCTGAACAGTAGGCTTCTCTGATATGTCATTTTACATAATTTAATGGAAACTGTGGCTTGCAATCCACTGGGAATATAATATTACCATCTTCAAAGTGTTTTTTAGATCCAACACTCAGTCTCTCATCAAGCTGAAAGATCTTATGCAAAATAATAATAAAAAGACCTCAAAGGTCCCTTCACAGAAGCAATTAATACCTTTAGAATAGGCTGATTTCTCTCTGTTTGGGAGAAGGTTTCATTATGTGCAAATTGTGCATTCATCCTTCAATTCAGAATCCTATTGTTTCTGAAAACACAATACTCGTGTTCCTGTGGAGAGTAAAATTGACCCTATTTTTGATGTCTTGCATAGCTCCTATTTGGATACTTTAATGTGTTTCCCTGTATGTAATGACAGAAAATACCATAATTAATTTTCCGATAAGTATTAACTTGAACTGAAAAAAATAAGCCAAAGACAAATTATATCATTCTAAATGGACCTTCCAACTTCAAATCCCTTCTTAATTATGTCAATGGCTTTTCATTATTATTGGGGGAAAAAAACAAACCTGTGCCTCTACACCTTGGTACCACATGCTCTCACAATCTCCTTCCCTTCAAGGACATCTTGCTGTTCCTTCCCCAATTCTCTGTGATCCACCATACCCCATACCTGCCTACTTCTGATTTCTCCACAGTCTTTGCTTCTACCTACCATAGGTATTTCTAATATGCTGAAAATCTATCCCCACTTCTTACCCCCAGAGGTACACTACTCTTTAATTGGTTAAGGATACTCTTCCATTAAATTCCAGCTCCATGATCATGTTCCTCAGGAAAGCTCTTACCAGGTGATATGGTTTGGCTGTGTCCCCACCCACATCTCACCTTGAATTGTAATAATCCCCACGTGTCAAGGGCAGGGCCAGGTGGAGATAATTAAATCATGAAAGCAATTTTCCCCATACTGTTCTCCTGGTAGTGAATAAGTATCATGAGATCTGATGGTTTTAGAAATGAGAGTTCCCCTGTACAAGCTCTCTGGCCTGCCACTATGTAAGATGTGACTTTGCTCTTCCTTCATCCTCTGCCATGATTGTGAGGCCTCCCCAGCCATATGGAACTGTGAGTCTATTAAACTTCTTTCCTTTATAAATTACCCGGTCTCAGGTATGTCTTTATTAGCCACATGAGAATGGACTAATATACCAGGTCTTATCAGGTCTCATTTTGTCATTTGTTTCTCCGTAACTACACTGATCAAAGTAGTAATTTTACTATATTTGTGTGATTCTTTGATGAATATCATCTTCCCCATTCCATAAGGCAAAAACCATAACTTTTTTGTGCTCATCAGTACATCCTCTGTCACATAGTGTTCAATACATGTATTTATTCAAGAAACTAAAAGTTTTAAAGTTTTTATGTTCTTTAACCTACATAAAGAACAAACTTCAGTGTGGAAATCCTATGCAAGGAAAATTACAAGATATAGAGAAATGTTTCTTTCCAGTAAAGACATTGGAGGAGAACACTAACAGAAGTCAAAGGGAAATCTAATTAATATTGGCTTTAAAGAAGAAAAATTATGCAATTTTGTTGGAGAGCAAAGTAGTCAGGTACAAGTTGATTTGATGATTCTATATCAAGATCCCTGGTGTTTTGCTAGGTCATTTGTTTAAAATGACTCATTCTTCCTTTCAAGCAGCAAAAGCTCAATCTCACATTCAAAAATGCCCGTAGCACAAAGGTTGCTTCAACATTTGGACTTGAAGGAAAATATTTATAAACCTGTGTATGAAAATATATTTTCCTCTGACTTGCCTTTGTGCTCAGGCCCAATAAATATCCTGTTTGTACACCCTAAAGGCTCTCTTGAGATAGGTATGGGCCAAGGCCTGAAAGTGGCCTGTGTCTCTTTTCTCACATTCCATTGGTCATAACTCAGTCACATGCAAGGGGGGTTAGGAAGTTTAGAAAAGCAAAATACCAAAAAAAAAAAAAAAAAGAAAATTTGAAATAGCTAGCCAGTTTCGGCCATAGTGTCCACATCTCCTGACCCCACATTCCTCTGAGATGTTATTTCTTTGCATCAAAGATATTATTTTCAATCTCTATTTATGGACTTGCTGAAAGTTGATTCGACTTATAATTAATGTATTTGTTTATTATTCCTAAGAATATTTTCTCCAACCATTGTGCTTCGTAAAATGCCTGCCACGAATTAGTTATTAACCAGGAATGGCTTTTCTCTAAGTCTGACATCCTCTGCTGTGAGTTGGCCTCATGTGCTTTCCTGCCCTGTAGTAAGTAGAGGGTGCTTGAAACATTCTCTTCGGCAGGAGAAAGGGAGCTAAATATGAACTTTATCTCCCACTGAATAGAAAAATCCATTAAAATGTCCCCCAGTGGCAACGACCACAAAGTATTTCTTTCTAATTATCTTATCCCCTCATCTTACAAAATATGACCAATATTTACATGTTTGTTTGCTTGCTTTTATCTGGGACCTCTAAGAAACCTTAGTCCTAAAGTATGACTCTTCCTTCCCCAATATACTGCTTCTTTAGGTTCAAAAAGTACTAATACAGAATGGCCTTAGATGAATCTGTGTCTTGGATAAATTGCCCTAGCATCTTCAAAAGCTTCACTTGTATTTGTGTGTGTTCAGCTCGGTAGATCAGTTAACTCAAACCTTTGCACTTTTTTCCAGCCAGATAAATGAGAAAAAATTGCACTTTAATTTTATTTCAATGATAAGAAAATTAAAGTTATTTCTGTTAAAAACCTTAATATGGTCTAAAAAATCTCAACAAATTTTTTTATCATCTGAAACGACTTTAATGGATTTTCTCTAGTATGCCATTAGTACAAATCCATTTTGTTTTATTGAGGTCAAACTACATTCCCTTGTCTTGTTCCCCAGGAGAAGGAAATTAGGTAAAAATTAGCTCACTGTGGTTGTATTCTCTTTATATTGCTGCATAAAGGAGACAGCCAACAAAAGGGCAAGCTGGTAACTTGCAAGGATCAAGCACTTTATATTAGGCCAGAGTTTCTATGTTGTAAGGGGAAAAAATAAGAAAGTGCAAAAGACAACCTAAAAATAAAAGAGTCTAAGAATCAAAGAAGATAGGGTTATTGACTTTGAAAATTTTTCTTCAAAATGTGTATATTTTATGTATAACCACATTAATTATTAAGCTACACAGAAAGTCAACTTAAGTAAATAAATCACACTAGAAGTCAACACATGTAAATAGACACCACACATATACAGTGGGTGTTGGAGGTTAGCATTCTTTTTTTTTTTGGAAAGAAAGAAGTAAAACTTTTTTTATACTTTAAGTTCTGAAATACATGTGTAGAACATGCAGGTTTATGACATAGGTATACATGTGCCATGGTGGTTTGCTGCACCCATCAACCCATCATCTACATTAGGTATTTCTCCTAATGCTATCTCTCCCCTTGCTCCCCACCCCCTGACAGGCTCTGGTGTGTGATGTTCCCCTCCCTGTGCCCATGTGTTCTCATTGTTCAACTCCCACTTACAAGTGAGAACATGTGGTGTTTGGTTTTCTGTTCCTGTGTTAGTTTGCTGAGAATGATGGTTTCCAGCTTCATTCATGTCCCTGCAAAGGACATGAATTCATTCATTTTTATGGCTGCATAGTTTTCCATGGTGTATATGTGCTACATTTTCTTTATCCAGTCTAACATTTAGGGACATTTGGGTTGGTTCCAAGTCTTTGCTATTGTGGATAGCGCTGCAATAAACATACATGTGCATGTGTAGAATGATTTATAATCCATTGGGCATATACCCAGTAATGGGATTGCTGGGTCAAATGGTATTTCTGGTTCTAGATCCTTGAGGAATCACCACACTGTCTTGCACAATGGTTGAACTAATTTACACTCCCACCAACAGTGTAAAAGCATTCCTGTTTCTCCACATCCTCTCCAGCATCTGTTGTTTCCTGATATTTTAATGATCGCCATTCTGACTGGTGTGAGATGGTATCTCACTGAGGTTTCAATTTGCATTTCTCTAATGACCAGAGATGATGAGCATTTTTTTATGTGTCTGTTGGCTGCATAAACGTCTTCTTTTGAGAAGTGTCTGTTCATATCTTTTGCCCACTTTTTGATGGGGTTGTTTGTTTTTTTCTTGTAAATTTGTTTAAGTTCCTTGTAGATTCTGGATATTAGTTCCTTGTCAGATGGATAGATTGCAAAAAATTTCTCCAACTCTGTAGGTTGCCTGTTCACTCCGATGTTAGTTTCTTTTGCTCTGCAGAAGCTCTTTAGTTTAATTAGATCCCATTTCTCAATTTTGGCTTTTTTTGCAATTGCTTTTTGTGTTTTAGTCATAAAGTCTTTGCCCATGCCTATGTCCTGAATGGTATTGCCTAGGTTTTCTTCTAGGGTTTTTATGGTTTTAGGTCTTACATTTAAATCTTTAATCCATCTTGAGTTAATTTCTGTATGAGGTGTAAGGAAGAGGTCCAGTGTCAGTTTTTTGCATTATGGCTAGCCAGTTTTCCCAACACCATTTATTAAATAGGGAATCCTTTTCCGATTGCTTGTGTTTGTTAGGTTTGTCAAAGATCAGATGGTTGTAGATGTGTGGTGTTATTTCTGAGGCCTCTGTTCTGTTCCATTGGTCTATATATCTGTTTTGGTACCAGTACTATGCTGTTTTCATTACTGTAGCCTTGTAGTATAGTTTGAAGTCAGGTAGCATGATGCTTCCAGCTTTGTTTTTTCTGCTTAGGATTGTCTTGGCTATATGGGCTCCTTTTTGGTTCCATACGAAATTTAAAGTAGTTTTTTCTAATTCTGTGAAGAAAGTCAATGCTAGCTTAAGGGGTGTAGCATTGAATCTATCAATTACTTTGGGCAGGATGGCCATTTTGACGATATTCGTTCTTCCTATCCATGAGCATGGAATGTTCTTCCATTTGTTTGTGTCCTCTCTTATTTCCTTCAGCAGTGGTTTGTAGTTCTCCTCGAAGAGGTCCTTCACATCCCTTGTAAGTTGTATTCCAAGGTATTTTATTCTCTTTGTAGCAATTGTGAAAGGGAGTTTGCTCATGATTTGGCTCTCTGTTTGTCTATTTTTGATGTATAGGAATGCCTGTGATTTTTGCACATAGATTTTGTATCCTGAGACTTTGCTGAAGTTGCTTATCAGCTTAAGGAGTTTTTGGGCTGAGACGATGGTGTTTTCTAAATATACAATCATGTCATCTACAAACAGATAATTTGACTTCCTCTCTTCCTATTTGAATATCTTTATTTCTTTCTCTTGCCTGATTGACCTGGCCAGAACTTCCAGTACTATGTTGAATAGGAGTGGTGAGAGAGGGCATCCTTGTCTTGTGCCGGTTTTCAAAGGGAATGCTTCCAGCTTTCTCCCATTTAGTATGATATTGGCTATGGGTTTGTCATAAATAGCTCTTATTATTTTGAGATATGTTCCATCAATACCTATTTTATTGAGTGTTTTTAGCATAAAGAGGTGTTGAATTTTATCGAAGGGCTTTTCTGCATCCATTGCGATAATCATGTGTTTTTTGTCATTGGTTCTGTTTATGTGATGGATTATGTTTATTGATTTGCATATGTTGAACTGGACTTACATCCCAGGGATGAAGCCAACTTGATTGTGGTGGATAAGCTTTTAATGTGCTGCTGGGTTCAGTTTGCCAGTATTTTATTGAGGATTTTCACATCGATATTCATCAGGGATACTGGCCTGAAATTTTGTTGTTGTTGTTGTTGTTGTGTCTCTGCCAGGTTTTGGTATCAGGATGATGCTGGCCTCATAAAATGAGTTAGGGAGGAGTCCCTCTTTTTCTGTTGTTTGGAATAGTTTCAGAAGGAATGGTACCAACCCCTCTTAGTACCTCTGGTAGAATTTGGCTGTGAATCCATTTGGTCCTGGGCTTTTTGGTTGGCAGGCTATTAATTACTGCCTCAATTTCAGAATTTGTTATTGGTCTCTTCAGGGATTCGACTTCTTCCTGGTTTAGTCTTGGGAGAGTGTGTGTGTCCAGGAATTTATCCACGTCCTCTAGATTTTCTAGTTTATTTGCATAGAGGTGTTTATAGTATTCTCTGATAGTAGTTTGTATTTCTGTGGGATCAGTGGTGATATCCCCTTTATCATTTTTTATTGTGTCTATTTGATTCTTCTCTCTTTTCTTCTTTATTAGTCTGGCTAGCGGTCTATCTATTTTGGTAATCTTTTCAAAAAACCAGCTCCTGGATTCATTTATTTTTTGAAGGGTTTTTCATGTCTCTATCTCCTTCAGTTCTGCTCTGATCTTAGTTATTTCTTGTCTTCTGCTAGCTTTTGAATTTGTTTGCTCTCTGCTTCTCTAGTTCTTTTTTTTTTTTTTTTTTTTTGATGGAGTCTCGCTCTATCACCCAGGCTGGAGTGCAGTGGCGTGATCTTGGCTCACTGCAAGCTCTGCCTCCCGGGTTCACGCCATTCTCCTGCCTCAGTCTCCCCTCGAGTAACTGGGACTACAGGCACCTGCCACCACGCCCAGCTAATTTTTTGTATTTTTAGTAGAGACGGGGTTTCACCGTGTTAGCCAGGATGGTCTCGATCTCCTGACCTCGTGATCCACCTGCTTCGGCCTCCCAAAGTGCTGGGATTACAGGCGTGAGCCACCGAGCCCAGCTGCTTCTCTAGTTCTTTTCATGGTGATGTTAGGGTGTCAATTTTAGATCCTTCCTGCTTTCTTCTGTGGGCATTTAGTGCTGTAAATTTGCCTCTTAACACTGCTTCAGCTGTGTCCCAGAGATTCTGGTACGTTGTGTCTTCATTCTCCTTGGTTTCAAAGAACTTTGCTATTTCTGCCTTAATTTCATTATTTACCGAGTAGTCATTCAGAAGCAGATTGTTCAGTTTCCATGTAGTTGTGTGTTTTTGAGTGAGTTTCTTAATCTTGAGTTCTAATTTGATTGCACTGTGGTCTGAGAGACTGTTACAATTTCTGTTGTTTTGAATTTGCTGAGGAGTGTTTTACTTCCAATTATGTGATTGATTTTAGAATAAGTGCTATGTCGTGCTCAGAAGAATGTATATTCTGTTGATTTGGCATAGAGAGTTCTGTAGATGTCTATTAGGTCTGCTTGGTCCAGAGCTAAGTTCAAGTCCTTGTTAAGTTTATGTCTTGTTGATCTGTCTAATATTGACAGTGTCTAATATAGAGAGTGGGGTGCTAAGATTTCCCACTATTATTGTGTGGGAGTCTAAGTCTCTTTGGAGGTCTCCAAGAACTTGCTTTATGAATCTGGGTGCTCCTGTATTGGGTGCATATATATTTAAGATAATTAGCTCTTTTAGTGCATTAATCCCTTTACCATTATGTAATGCCCTTCTTTGTCTTTTTTTGATCTTTGTTGGCTTAAAGTCTGTTTATTCAGAGACTAGGATTGCAATCCCTGTTTTTTTGTTGTTGTTTTGGTTTTGGTTTTTTGCTTTCCATTTGTTTGGTAAATATTCCTCCATCCCTGTATTTTGAGCCTATGTGTGTCTTTGCACATGAGATGGGTCTCCTGAATATAGCACACAGATGGGTCTTGGACTCTATCCAATTTGCCAGTCTGTGCCTTTTAATTGGGGCATTTAGCCCATTTATATTTAAGGTTAATATCGTTATGTGTGAATTTGCTCCTGTCATTATGATGCGAGCTATTTATTTTGCCCTTTAGTTGATGCAGTTTCTTCATAGTGTTGATGGTCTTTACATTTTGGATTTTTTTTGTACTAGCTGGTACCGGTTTTTCCTTTCCATGTTTAGTGTTTCCTTCGGGAGCTCTTGTAGGCAGGCCTGGTGCTGATAGAATCTCTCAGCAGTTGCTTGTCTGTAAAGGATTTTATTTCTCCTTCACTTATGAAGCTTAGTTTGGCTGGATATGAAATTCTGGTATGAAAATTCTTTTCTTTAAGAATGTTGAATATTGGTTCCCACTCTCTTCTGGCTTGCAGGATTTCTGCAGAGATCTGTTGATAGTCTGATGGGCTTCTTTTGTGGGTAACCAGACTTTTCTCTCTGGCTGCCCTTAACATTTTTCCCTTCATTTCAACCTTGATGAATCTGCCAATTAATGTTTCTTGGGGTTGCTTTTCTCGAGGAGTATCTTGGTGGTGTTCACTGTATTTTCTGAATTTGAATGTTGGTTTGTCTTGCTATGTTGGGGAAGTTCTCCTGGACAATATCCTGAAGTGTGTTTTCCCACTTGGTTCCATTCTCCCCGTCACTTTCAGGTACACCAATCAAACATAGGTTTGGTCTTTTCACACAGTCCCACATTTCTTGGAGGCTTTGCTCGTTCCTTTTCATTCTTTTTTCTCTAATCTTGTCTTCTCGCTTTATTTCATTAAGTTAGTCTTCAATCTCTGATATCCTTTCTTCTGCTTGATCGATTCAGCTATTGATACTTGTGTATGCTTCACGAAGTTCTCGTGCTGTGTTTTTCAGCTCCATCAGGTCATTTATATTCTTTACTAAACTGGTTATTCTAGTTAGCAATTCATCTAACCTTTTTTCAAGGTTCTTAGCTTCCTTGCATTGGGTTAGATTATGCTCCTTTAGCTCAAAGGAATTTATTATTACCCACTTTCTGAAGCCTTCTGTCAATTCATCAAACTCATTCTCCATCCAGTTTTGTTCCCTTGTTGGTGAGGAGTTGTGATCCTTTGGAGGAGAAGAGGCATTCCGGTTTTTGGAATTTTCAGCCTTTTTGCCCAGTTTTTCCTCATCTTTGTGGATTTATCTACCTTTGGTCATTGCTGTTGGTGACCTTCAGATGAAGTTTTTGCGTGGTCATCCTTTTTGTTGATGTTGATGCTATTGCTTTCTGTTTGTTGGTTTTCCTTCTAACAGGCCCCTCTTCTGCAGGTCTGCTAAAGTTTGCTGGGGGTCCACTCCAGACCCTGCTTGGGTATCGCCAGCAGAGGCTGCAAAACAGCAAAAATTGCTGCCTGCTCCTTCCTCTGGAAGCTTCGTCCCAGAGGGGCACCCGCCAGATGCCAGCTGGAGCTCTCTTGTATGAGATGTCTGTGGACCCCTGCTGAGAGGTGTCTCCCTGTCAGGAGACATGGGGATCAGGGACCCACTTGAGGCAGTCTGTCCCTTAGCAGAACTCAAGCGCTGTGTTGGGAGATCCACTGCTCTTTTCAGAGCCGGCAGATAGGAACGTTTAAGTCTACTGAAGCTGCACCCACAGCCACTTCTTTCCCCAGGTGCTCGGTAAGGTTAGCATTCTTAAGCTCCATTCTATCTTTCTTATAGTTGGGGGGACTAGAAAGCTTAAAACTAAATGTTTAGATTCCCTTGTATCTAAGATTCTTCATGCAAATTAGATTATGCCAATTGGATGCACCTATGCACAATTTGGGAGAAAAACGTTAAGGTGAAAAATTTGTCCTATTTCTTTTTTGTTTTTCCTTGTCGGCATACAGTGCCATGGAAATGGGAGCTGGTATCAGCAATAATCGGCAGTGATCCAGCATTTGTTTGTCAGCTGTCTAGGTGCTAAGAGATGACTGCATCAGTTTCTTACTTCTGACTTTCTAATCTTTGGATCACAGCTGTGGGTCCATTCTCCAGATTCCCAGGTGATGAGAGGAAGTTGTCTGCTTCAGCTGCTTTATTACAGATTTGCTTTATTATAGATCATTGGGATATATGCCTGAACTCATAGCACCCCTCATGATGTGACAGGTGGTAGGATCCTGAAATAAATTATGAACTCTTCTGGAAGTCTTTCCTGGAGGTCCACCTTAGAACCCACTTCTTTCCCTGTAATAATTTATAAGCATCAAATTTCATGTACTAGATCCCTAATAAAAAGGCATGGAGTATTTTTGTTTCTTGCACTAAACACTGCCTGATGCAACACATGACATTTATGCAATTTTTCAGTGTCTTAAACTGTTCTCCATGTAGTTCTTTTGCCTGTGTCTGTGCTGGCTGTTTCAGCTAAGCCCTCATAGGTAAATGCACCTGGTATGACTTCCTAAGAATCAGCTCACATTTTCCCTCAGAATAATTTGTTTCCCTCCAAAGCTTCTACTGCCAATGTTCTGTCATTGTTCAAGATATTCTACGGATGTGTTTGTCAAAGGTCTTTCTCCTCCAAATCTTTTTAATTTCAGTTTAGTCTCTCATGTTATTTACTATATATTCCTACATATACTACTTTGTCTCAACCCTAATACCACGTTTATGTTCAAGATATTTAATGATACATAATTTCTGTAGCTTTGATGAAGCTATATCTTCTTTCTTTTATCTTGGGTATATATAAATTTTATAGTAAAGCCCTCTGCTTTGGGTTTCTGGAATGACAGTAATAATAAAAACAAGGTAGTTTTTCAATCTCATCTCTAATTCCTTTTGTGGGGGAGATTAACCAATCAAAACGGTGAATCAATGATTTTGAACTAGATTCAGGAAAAACATCTTTCTTTGAAAAACAAAAAAAAGCCTACATTTCTTGTCTTTCTCTTCTCCACTTGGAATGTCATCAGGAATTTTTCTACGTCCTTGTCCTCCTCTTCTACTCCTGAAAAGACTCACAGAGATAGAGCCTGTCAACACTGTAAGCTAAGACTCCCATGACAGACCACAGGACGGAAAAGCCCCTACCACCTCAAGCCGCCATGCCATGAGTAGAGTTCCAAGACTAGCATGCTACCTCCACAGCAGAATAAGAAAACATCTTCAAGGAGCAGTGGTGGAGCACAAATATGTTATGGCTGCCCCAAACCTTTGTAATAGACACCTGTTTTTCTCTTGTGGGGAAAGGTATCCCTTTCTTTGGGTAACTGCCTCTCACCCACTCCATGCTACCTCGTTGGAGGTATCACTGACAATATTCCACCATATCGTAACTACAAGGTGGTCTTTAATTCAAACTAGGGCAGTCCCTCTCTCTCTCCCCAAGGTGTTTAAAACTGAATGGAGACACACAGGGACTGAAGACATTGGAACAGGGCATCCATTGTGTGTGCTTGAGAAGCTCTCCTGTGCTCCTTTGTTTCCTTTTCATCCTCAGACCCAGTTGTTTTGTGAGTGTTTCTTTAATTTGGAGCTCCCTAGTATGTGTTTAGTAAGCCCTCTTTTGTTTAAGTTTTTGAGACTGAATTTTGTTTCTTTAAATCAGAGGACCCTAACCAATCTTTCCTTCCTCCACCCCTTCACTCCCTGCCTGCCTCCTTTTCCTCTCTGAGTCCAACAGACTCTTGACAGGCAGTAAAATCCATCTGGATAATGATGGGTAAAGGCATCCTATCATTTATTCATTCAACAAACATAGATTGAGATTTTACTACTGCACTTAGCAGCTTCTATCCCAGCATGGGATAATACAACACAAATTTAAATTTAGGGAAAGAATTTTCAAGAAGCAACATGTGAATGTGAACTCTCTTGGAAAGAGAATATCCATTTTACCAGATAGAAAGAAGCAGGGAGTGTACTCTAAGCAAAGGAGCTTTGGCAAAAGCAAGAAGTCGTCTTGCCTTTGGGAACTACTACACATGTTAAACTAGAACTCAGATTCAAATTGAGAAGTGATGGAAAATTGGACGGGAATGGTTAAAGATGTTAGATTAGTAAAGCCAGATTATTCTCTCAGAATGCTAAAGAGAGATAAGAACAGATATTGCTAGATGTCCCTGCCTCCATTTCTTTCTTTCTTTTTATGCATTAGCATTTGCAACTTTAAGTTGGACACATCAATGCGCAGAATAAAGAATACATTTCCCAGGGTCTCTCAATAGCTAGATATGGCCATGTGACCACATTCTGACCACTAGGAAGTAAACAAAATTAATACATGCAAGTTGTGGCTATACTCTTAAAGGGAAGGTACTTGCCATCTCCTTGCCTTCTTCCCCTTCTACTGGGAATGTAAACACAGTGATGGTGAGGCAATCTGGATCATGCAAATGAGTGCAAAGCCTTGAGGATGGGACCAAATAGATTGAAGATTCCTGGATCCTCAGTTCCGTGTTCCACACATAAATTACTCTTGGACAGTTATGCAAAAACAAATATCAACTTTTATCTAGCATATCTTCCCCAAACCTTTGTAACAGATATCTGGTTTTTTCTTGTGTGGAAAGGTATCCCCTTCTTGGAACTGCCTCTCACCCACTTCATGCTACCTTGTTGGATGTATCATTGACAATATGCCACCATATCCTGTCTACAAGGTGGTCTTCAATTCAAACTAGGCCAGTCACTCTCTCTTTCCAAGATGTTTAAAACTGAATGGAGATCCACAGGGACTGAAGACATTGGAACAGGGCCTCCACTGTGAGTGCCATCTAGTTTAAGCCAATGTATAGTGGCCACCTGTCACAGCAGGTGAATCAGTATCTTAAGTGTGTCAAGAGAAAGTCACAGTCACACTTAAGACTATGGCCTGGCCGGGCGCGGTGGCTCATGTCTGTAATACCAGCACTTTGAGAGGCCAAAGAGGGCGAATCACGATGTCAGGAGTTCGAGAACAGCCTGTCCAACATGGTGAAACCTCATCTCTACTAGAAATACAAAAAATTAGCTGGGTGTGCTGGCGGGTGCCTGTAATCCCGGCTACTCAGAAGGCTGAGGCAGGAGAATCCCTTGAACCTGGGAGGCAGAGGTTGCAGTGAGCCAAAATCGTACCACTGCACTCCAGCCTGGGCGACGGTGCAAGACTCCATCTCAAAAAAAAAAAAAAAAAAAAGACCATGGCCCATAAGCCAAAGTTGACCCACCTCCACCTCTTCTTTCTGTATAGCCTGTGAGCAAGATGATTTTTACATCTTTAAATGGCTGGAAAAAAAATCAAAAGAATAATAATAATTTATGTGAACATTACATGAAATTCAGTGCCCATAAAAAAGTTTTATTGGAACACAGCCATGTTCATTCATTTATGTATTGTCTATAGCTGCATGTGCAATACTACAGGTAGTTGAATAGTTGCAACATAGATCATATGGATCACGAGTCTAAAATATTTAATATTTTGCCCTTTACAGAAAGAGATTTTCCAATCCCTGCTTTAGATTATTGCTTTAATGGATGCAGCAAATTTACTAAGAATGAAGAGACTAGAATCAAGTAAGAGCCCATGAGAGGGCTGCCCAGCAATATTAGGTTAGTGCAAAAGTAATTTTGGTTTTTGTGATTATTTAATACTTTTAATCACAAAACCATAATTACTTTTGCACCAACCTAATAGGTTAAAAATACAGAGGAAAGCCATTCAAATTAGTTGCAGTAGGTAGGAAGAAACAAAGTGGGGTGTGTATTAAAGAGCTATTTAGACAGTGGAATTAACACAATTGAGAAATTTCCTCCCAAAAGAGATGCTGAGGACATAGTAGAATATGAAAATGGTCCTTTCTCCCACATTCTATGTGTATGACAAACTATTAAAATAAAAACCTTTGCCCCACTCAAAGTTAATACTGTCAAATCCCTGTTAGGAATTTCCCAGGGAAGCTCAAATTCATTATAATTAGCCTCTTTTGAGTGTTACCAAAGTTTATTTTCACCCATCATATTTAAGTTCAAACTTGACCCTCAGCAGAAATTTTCCTTGTGTTGTCTTAAGTGATAACACTTCTAGAATGTGTCTTCCCACCTACTCTCACACAAAAGCAGTAAGACAGCTACCATACCATCCTCAAATGGCTTTGTAGGTATGCGACTTATTTCAGACTTTAAAAAAAATGTTCGTCATTTCAGATTTATATTCACTGCCATAAATAATAGTTATGGAAGCTGCATAAACATTAACTTATACCATCATGCATGTACATTCTACTATTTTATAAATAATAAAGTCATTACATAGATATTGATATTTTAATCAATTAACTGAGTGCAATCTTTTAAGACTTATTTTAAGGCCTCCTAATTAATGGTTACACCAAAAACAAAACACATGTACTTCCTTCTTCCATGGCAGTTCTGATGTTTCATTGACACAGATGTGACGGTGACATTAGAACAGAACTGTAGTTCCAATCCACTGGAGATGGGATGCATGTTGTTGCAGTTCATTCATCATTCATTCATCCATTTAACAAGTATTTGTCACATCACTATTATATTCCAGGAGGTCTGGCAGACACAGGAAATACTGGACAGCCAGGGTGTCCTTCCTTAGAGAGTATCTGGATTACAGAAGTATCCAGGCACTAGGCTATTATAAAACTGTGGGATGAATGCTGAGCTACAGAATGAGGCCGTGGACATAGAAAAGAAGCACCTAGCCCAGACTGGGGGAGATGGAGGAAAGCTTCCTATTGAAAGTAATGTCTAAGCTGAGGGCTAGAGTATGAGTAACAGTCATCCAAGAGAAAAGAGAAGATCAGGGAAAGGAACTGCATGTAGACAGATTGGGGAGAGAGAGAATGAGTATATGAGTGGCCTCTTGAATCGTAAGTGTAGTCAGGGTCTGCCCCCAGGTGATATGGGGCCTGTCTTCAACCTCCTTCCCCACCTCTCATTCTGAAACAGCACTGCTTTTGAAGCATGTGTTCACGCACAGTGTGTCTCCCCTGGTCCCACCACATTCTTTCTGCTTCTAGATACACTACTGCTCTAGTAAATGAAAGAAGCTCCATGTGGCTGAAAATCAAAGTGTGAGGAGGATGTAGCGAGTGAGGTAAGCCATGACAAGGACTGCAGAGTGCCAGACATTATTTGGGATTTCTGTTTCTTGGCCTTTGCCCTGCCTTGACACTAGCCCCTTTGACTGGTTAGTCCCTGAAACATCCATCCCTGTTCATTGCCTGGTCAGGAGTCCCCACCTGTCACTGACACTAAAGAACATGTTGGCACACCCAGGCCCCCATGCTAGTGCCACTCAAGGGTAGAAAGGAAATGAGTTTCCCGGTCTCTGTAATCAAAGGTGGCACCGTAACAAGTGGAGGAAAAAACATAGAGGATGTGGAGTTATTTTGTGATCATTGATCATATTGTAAAAATGAGAGGTTTCTCCTCATTTCTTGGTAAAAATTAAGTTTTGACTTTTTCCTTGAAAGACAGTGTGTGTAGAATGTTTTCTTTGTGAGCCACATGGCCCAGGTTTGACTTTTATGATCTTCCAGAAGATGGAAAAACATAAAAGAATTCAAATCATTGTGTTGGTTTTTTTTAATCAGGAGGCAACATTAATCACAAACTTCGTTTGCTTAATTACATTTCTTCCTGTGTATCCAACTTGAAGGGAAAAAAACTTGCATCATTGTTACAAATATTGTATTTGACCTGTTTCCCCTTTATTACATGCAACTTGCAAATATTCTACTTCCCTTACTCCTACCTATGGTACAATGATTTGTATTGTTCCTGAGTAATGTTTTCCATAACAAGTGAAGGAAAAAACATAAATTAAGAATTTCCTTCCAAGAATTGTAAAATAACAAAATATTTACTGAAAATGTATGCATATTTGCTGGTGCCCTGGCAAATTAAACTCAGAAACCATCCACAGCATGGGAAATAGTATTGGTGACTTTTTGTTAAACGTTCTCAGCAGCCACCAATTAAATACCATTTTCACTTGATAGACAGGTGAGCCTGGACTTCAGTGAGTTGAGATGGGAAAATAAAGAACCTAGCTTCCTTCTCTTAATAGTTTGAGACAACCTAGATGTAAGCAATCAAAATAAATATTCATAGAATTTTCAAGTGGTGTCTTCATTAGGCAGTGCCTAGATACACACTGGATAATACAGTCATAATTTTTCATCCACAGGAGTAGTTAGATTCCCATTGAGCAACCAGGTAAAAAGCATGGGAGGGGTTGACTACAGGTATCGTCAAGTCAGTAAGTAGAAGATTTGAAGATATGGTCATTGTTCCTACTGGGTTTTGTTTTTTGTTTGTTTGTTGGCTGGCTGTTTCTTTTTGAGAGAGGATCTGGCTCTGTCACCCAGGCTGCAGTGCAGTGGTGTGATTACAGCTCACTACAACCTCCAACTCTCAGGTTTAAGCCATCCTCCCACTTCAGCCTCCCAAGTGGCTGAGGCTACAGGCGTGCACCACCATGACCACTATTTTTGTATTTTTTTTAATTGTAGAGACAGGGTTTTGCCATTGATATGGTTTGGATCTGTGTCCCTGCCCAAATCTCCCATCAAATTGTAATTCCCCAATATTAGAGGTGGGGCCTGGGAGAGGTGATTGGATCACGGGGACAGAGTTCTTATAAATGGTTTCTCACAATCCCCTTGGTGCTGTTCTCTTGATAATGAGGCCTCATCAGATCTGATTGTTTAAATGTGTGTAGCACCTCCTCTTCTCTCTCTGTCCTGCTCCTGCCATGTAAGGCACCTGCTCCCACTTTGCTTTCCACCATGAATAAAAGCGCCCTAAGGCCTCCCCAAAAGCAGATGCTGCCATGCCTCATGTACAGCCTGCAGAACTGTGAGCCAATTACACCTCTTTTCTTTATAAATTACTGAGTCTCAGGTATTTCTTTATAGCAATATGAGAACAGACTAATACAGCCATGTTTCCCAGGCTGGTCTCCAACTCCTGGGCTCAAGCAATCCACCCACTTCAGCCTCCCAAAGTGTGAGGATTACAGGCATGAGCGACCACGCCTGGCCTCATTGATCATATTGTAAAAATGATGTTTGTCCCCATTTCTTGATACAAATAAATAAATTACCTCTTTCATCTGTCTCTTTCTGCTCACAACATCAAATACTAGGTTGAGCCACTGCATGTCTCCTCAAATAAAAATACCACAAAACTATAATAAAATACAGTATGTGATTTTAATAGACAAATTGTACTGATCAATTTAATTATTGGTATAAGAAACTGATGCTTCCACAATTGAACTAGTTGAGATCCAGATGAAAATAATAATTATGGGTGTGTACTTTGCTCTAAAAAGAAAAAAGTTATAGAAGTTACAGGTATGCTACACACACACACACACACACACACACACACATACAGAGTCATGGTCCTAGAATTGCTATACTTTAAAATAACAAAACAAATGTATACTCTGGGAACTGGAAAATTGGGATTCTAAACTAATTTCAATAAATGCGTTTTTATTAATTTTATATACAGTTGGCAAATAGGCCAGTTCTTTTTGGTCTACTTTAATATGTAATTAAGAATGATTGTAATTTGATATATTATTTGTAATAATACTTTAAAAATTACTTGTAAAAAAGCATTTTATTGACTGCTTATTAAAAATTATGATAATATGAATTTCCTTAACACGTATATTTTTGTAGATTATAAGGCCTTTGTTCTGAATGAGGATTAATAGTTTTCAAACCCTTTCACCTACATGTTCTCATTTAATCTTCACAATAATGCTGTAAGACATTTAATTTTCTTTTTCACAGATGCAAAAACAAGAGACTTAGTAAATAAGCTAGCCTGAAGCCATACACATAGATAAAAGTGACAGAATCAATATACAAATACATTTCTTCTTACTCTATAACTCTTTCGCTAATGAAACAAAGTATCAGTCTAGCTGGTAACCAAATTATCACTAATTCTTAATTAGTGTAATGAAGTAATAAGCTTTCATTGTATCATTCATAATTCAGAGATGCAATTCTACGGCCTCCACAAAAATGACATGCTACCATTATGATTACACCTACTAATTACACTCACGGTTTGGGATTTGGAAGCTAATTATTATCTGTTCTTATTTTTAGTTAAGTATTAAGACTTGAAATTTCTGGTTGGATTATGAAATATTTCACGATCTCAAAACACTTTAGAAGTTAAAAACCCAATTCACTGATCTTCATTTCTAGATGTACTTCTTCCATCTCCACCTCAGCCACACATTCATCCTTGGTATCATGGAAGTGACTCTTATAACATCTCCAATTCAGACATCTAACTCTTTGATTACAACTTTCCCAACTTTGATGTTTTTTGTTCAACTATTCCTTTAAACTCATCAGGCCCTGAAGTCTAGGACACCAATAACATGCCTGCCAGTACTCCAAAGTCTCCTGGGCTTCCTGAGTTTTTGTTACACCACTTAGAAAAATACCAACACTAAGTCATCCAATTGTCATTTTTCCCATGTCTTCATCCACTTATCTGAATATCACTGGGAGAGTCACCCCGCAGAGCAATTTGTACCAGTCAAATTTCAAGCTTATCATCCTCAAATTGACTGTTAATACTGCCTGGGATTATTTCTGGATTTCTGTGGTATGCTCACCCCACCACGTTCTGAACTAGTTAAAACCTTCTCCACTCATCAACAAACTTCTAACATCCCCATTTCCCCTAAATTTGGTCTCAGAAGATGATCTCCCTTTTATTCCTTGGAGAGAAAATAGAATCCAGCCAAAGAAAACTCCTCTACCTCCCTGTATCAAATGTACAGATGTATCTAAACTCATTCTTTTATTCTTTCCTTCAACAAATGTTTGCTTATAGATTGCTTACCACCTATACTCCAGATACCATCCTAAAAACTACAGCTGTACCCACAAACAGGACAAAGCTCTCTCCCTTCAAGTTACCTACCAGTGAACAAATAATATAATTTCAGAGAGGGAAAAGTGCCATAAGGAATGCAAGATAGGATAACACAGTAGGCAATGATTAGGGATGGTTATAGGGAGTGAGACATAAGATACGGTGCTCAGGGAAAGCCTCTCTGAGAAGCTAGCATTTAAATTATGGCTGAAATGACTAAAGTCAGCCATGGGAAGATCAAGAGGGAAAAGGAAGACCAAGGTCCCAAAGAAGGACACATTTGTTACAGGTTCAAGGAGCCCAAAAAAGGAAGAAGAAAAAAAAAAGTCCATGTGGCTGGAGCATAAGCAGGAGAAAATGGTATGAAACAGTGCTCTGTTCACTCATGCCTTAAGCTACAAGAGAGAAGTAGATCTAGATGCATCTTTCTGTCTGGGTTTGGACCATGCCCTTTACTTTCCCAAGAACTCTCGCTACTAATGGACTACATCTGCCTCCTCTATATTCCTCTGAATCTTACATCTCTTTTCCATCAGCATTTAAACATGTTCATGACATTAATATCATAAAATGCATCCCCTTTTCTCCTCCAGATTCCTAGCCTATTCAAATTTCAAAGAATTTTTTATATTCATTATTCCCTTTCTTCCTATCCCACTCACTCCAGTTTGTTTTCATACCAAGCGTTGACCGAAACAGCTTTCTCTAAAGTCAAAAGTGGTCTCAATTTCACTTGATCTCCCACCACCATTTGACCCTGCTGACCTTGACCTTCTCCTTGAACTATTCTCTTCCCTTACCCTAATGACCCCATACATTTCTGGTTTTCTTTTTACCATCTAGCAGGTGGCTCAGTCTCAGTAATCTTCACAAACATGTCCTCCTTTATTCTCCCGGATACCAGTGGCATTAGAAACATCAGGAGGCCTGTTGCTGAGCATGTTTGCTGAGCCTCACCCCTGGGTTTATAATGCTTTAGGTCTATTTGCAATCCCAATAGATTCCCAGGGAATTCTCATGCTATTGGACAGGGAACCATACTTTGAGAATCACTGTGTTAAATATTATAGTTCCTCCAGGTTTTGTCCTATCTGCCCTCTCTTTCCACTTTCTACTTTTTCCATTGATGATTTCATGTATACCCATAGCTTCAGTTTCCACATTTTAATGACACAAAAATTTGTATATTCATCCCAGACTTCTTGGCTTAGATCTAGGTCTAATGGGAGTCAAAAACCTCCATTTATGTGCACCGAAGTTAGCCCAAACTCAATGTATGCCCCCAAATGAACTTGTAATAAACCAGTTACTTTTCCAGGGTTCTCTATCCATCTTCTTATGGAAGTCAGAATCAAGGAGTCGTCCTTAACACCTCCTTCTTATTTATTCCCTCCTCCATATCTAAAACTGTATTAATACCGGTGTATTTTACTTCCTAAATATCTCTCCATGAATTGTTCATGGCTCTCCAAGTATTTCATTACCATCCTTGTCCAACCTGCCGTCCTCTTTTCCTGGGCCACTGGCTATATCAATCTTCTTGCCTTCTTCAAATCCATTCTTCATATTAGTATTTTGTTAATAATATTTTAATATTAATATTTTACCCAAAGTGATGACATCAATAGGCTTATGACACCCCTCTGCCTAAATTTCAGTGGTTTCCTATTGTTTGTGGGATAAAAAATTCTTGTGGCCTTCATGGGTTTGGTGTCTGCCTATGTGTATTCATCTCCATCTTTATCTCATTTCATATCACACTCCTTGCTCTATGCTCTTCAACAGTTTTCAAAAGCACTGTGCTTCTTTGGGTCAAGACCTTTTGCACATTTCCTACTAAAAAGAGTTATCTTGCATTCTCCTTCTAGAATTCCTAGTCACTCCTCATATTCTCTGATTACCCTCCCCAGTTAAGGTCAGTTTCTTCTGTTACATGCTTTTGTAGTACTAGGTACGGTTACTTCAAAGCAATTTTCACAGTTTGCAAATATACACTTATTTATGTGGATGTTTCATTAAAATCTGTTTCCCTCTAGTCGTTAAACTCTATGGGTTAAGGGATAGACTCTGTATTTTCCCACTAGGACATCTCCAGGGCCTATCCAAAATTGACAGAGGAAAAGCCCTCAATAAATTTATGTTGAATTAATAAATACATGACATTGACTGTTTACTTTCTAAACAGGGAGTCTATCCTTGTTTTCCTAGAGAGCTTTGTTCTAAGCCTTGGGGGCCCTTCTTCAGTATTAGAATTTCATTAGCTGGCATCAGCATCTTAGTTATTGTTATGCAAAAACTACTAAGTGTGTATCCCCGAAGGCTGTATTTTGCTTAGACTCTCCTAGGAAATGTGACTGTGCACACAGGCTGTGGATATTTAATATTAACTGACCTCCTACTGTGTTGCTCAGAAAGCAACTTATGATTTGCCACCACTCTAATTTTCTTACTAATGTTGTATCATGACTTCCAAACCCTCAATGGGTTTCAGCAGCTGTTAGAGAATATAAGAAATAAAATTTGATTGTGCATACAAAATTGGCCTGCATATGAGACAAACAGCTTTGGTTTCTTTCCTCCATTTACTGTACTACAACTAGCTGAAATCTCAATCTCATTGGATTGCAAGAAACTGCAACAGCTTTAATTAATGCTTTTGCCACTGTTCCTATAGATTATTGCAAATGTCTGTGTGTCTCTCCAAACGTTGCATCTGAGGGTTCTGGATATTTCAGAGTACCTCCACCGTTGCTGCTGCAAGAGAGCTCATTAAAGCTTGTGTAATAAATGACCTCTCTGCTCTTCTTTCTCCAAGTTTAACATCAACAGGACCCATGCCGATTTCAGATCACATCCTGCTCCTTGTTTGGGAAATCTGTGCTTTTCTACAATTTATTTTTTGTGTTTCTAGTGATCAGTTTAAATTTCTTTTGCAACTACATCTTTTAGGTAATACATGCTATAAGCTTCTTGCATGCACTATGCCCAGAATACCATTTTAAGATTTGCTAAGCCACTTCATCAATTACAAATAAAACTTCAGCTATATGTTTTGAAAAACCAAACCTGATATTACTTTGAGAAATCTTTCTTTTTCCTAGTTCATGTTGGCTTGTTTAGGAAAAATATATGAGAACTATAAAATGCATTATTTAAATTTTCAAGTCTTCTGTAGCAACCCTTTTTCAGTCCAATTAGGACCAATAGGTTGTGAAATGCCTAGAGCAAATCCATTACCACTTAACTACTTCTCTTCTGGATCTATATTGCACTGACTGACAGAAGATTCAATCACCACATATTTGATGGGGACTAATGATTTGATAATGCATTCATGTGTCAGATGTCAGGTATACAGTATGACTGTGAGATGTGCAAAGAAGAAAAGAAGAAATGTTTGCAAATGTCTTCCTCCCTCCTCTCCCCAGGGTAGTGTCACTAGCAGAGCAATCTCCAGTTCATATGGGTGGTGACAGAAGAGGGATCCTGCAGCATCAAGGGCTCCTTTGCAATGATTTCTGTCTAGATGGCAATCATGAGGGGCCTTGTTTTTCTGCTTTGTGTGTGAGTGGGAACGTGTGTCAGCATCAACCTTGCATTTATCAACAACATCCTCATTTTTGTTTGGCGAGGTGGTGAGGGATCCATGCAGGAGGAAATGAAGTGACTGCATTTATCTCAATGTTCCCAAGGGTCAGGTAAGGTGCTCTCATGCTATGGTATATGACAAGGTGGGTGACATTTAATGAATAAATAGACAACCTTTTAGAGGAATCAGTGCTGCTTCTCACATGAATCAATGACCGAGTCAATTGTTATAAGATCCAAGATAGATTACATTAAAGTAGGAGGTAGGAAGGTAGAACTGGCAGCTGCTCAGAGGTAGAAATAAATGTCTCTCATTTTTTCTCTATCTCTCTATCTATCACTTTCTCTGTCACACACACACATATACACAAACAAATATATGAACAAACACAAATATACACCCTTCCCTTTTCTCTGAATTATTATAATTTAGTTATACTACTTAATCTTGTCATCTTTAAGTTAGAAAGTACAAAGCAATAGCAGTTTTGAGCTATAATCACAAAGTAATATGGCTGAATTTTTAACAACCATAATGAATGTTTACATTATATAAACAAGTTTTGCCTTCTTTAAGAAAGGGAGCCACATGTTTATTTCAAGGACTCTATTGGCTAGTCTTTTGCAAATTCTTACTTTGGAATGACCTTTAGAACCTGTGGCATATTTTTTTTTTTAATATTGTCCAGAGTGGCATTTCTTCAGGGTAGATCTCATTTGTAAATATAGACAAAAGTCATTCAGAGCTGAGTTCAATGACTAAAAGTAGATGACCAAACTGGGTGATCAAATCTAGGCTCCACGCTGAGGTGCACTTCTAAGATAAGGTGCCTGATTTTCCCATGTGGGCTTTTTGCCTATACTCTTGCCCACCCACCCGCCCACCTAGGGGAGCAATGGACACCTACCAATGGTCATAGCTCTTCTCTAATCATACTCCTCTGCCCTCAGCTTGTTTAACAGTATTTCTCAACTCCATCTCATCTTCATTCTACTCCAGACTCGTAGATCTTGAATCCAGCATTTGATTCTACCTCTGAGTCTTTGAACCAGGTGTTAGCAATGATTTTCCCAATGTTTGAACTACTACTTTTCCAAATAAACTCTGACTTTAAATTTTTCTCTTGTCTTTGAATGCACTGTGTTTACTGACAAAGACTACACTACCTTGCTCCTTCTGAAACCCAGACACCAACATAAGCCATGTGGCTCAAATCCTGAGAATTCCACTGTTATGAGTGCAATTCCGAAAGATGTGTTTCAGAGCTACTTTAACACTATTACTATTGGAATCATACATAATAAGCATAAACCCTTCCAAGGTGACTACTCTTAATGATAATACTCCCTTGAATGAATATATTCTGATATAAATACTTTACTTTTTTCAACTTTTTATTATGAAAGATTTTATACATTTTTGTTCAGCTTTGACAATCAACTTTCTGCTGTTCTTGTTTTACCAACCCCCTTCAAGTTTATTCCTGGAGTATTTTAAAGAAAATGCTATATTATTTGAAATCCATATTATTTCTCCTAGAAATACTCTGGCAAATTATCTCTAACAGATAAAAGAAAATTAAAGAAAAACTAAACACAATTCTATTATTGAGACAGCCAGGTAGGAGGGGGTCCCCAGAAAAACTCCAACTGGCCAGTGCCTTGAGAATGCGCACTGCGGTGGAGCCTAAGAAAGTTTGCGCCCTTTGCCGTGGGGAGGAGCCTGGCCCCCACTCCTCTTCCTGTGTGAAACCTGGAATTCAAGCTGTGGGCAGGAGCGTTCTACCAGGGACTCTGGCTTTGCGGAGGATCGCTGTTTCACCTTTTTTTCCCTTTTCACCCAATAAAACCCTGTCTTACTCACCCTTCAACCCATCTGCAAGCCTAAATTTTCATGGTCGTGGGACGGAAAAGGACCTCGTCTTTAGCTGAACTAAGGAAAAGTCCTGCAACATTATTATGCCCAACAAACTTTCAAAAATCTTTTTAATATTGTCAACATTCTAATCCACATTCAGCTTCCCTAGTTATCTCAGAACTGTCCTTTTAGATGTGGTTGTTAGGATCCAAACAAAGTCCACACATCGCACTTCTCTCTGAAGATTCTTTTAATCTTAACCAATAGGTATTTTTGCTTTAAATAATAAAATATGTACAATTGTATACATTGCTGTCATAAATTTAAGTTTCATAGCTAAACTATAAAGAGAAGTTTTGCTTTGTATATATATATATATATATGTAAGAATTTCATGGTTGCATTGAGCATTAAATTCCTCTATAAAGCACTGAATTTCCTTCATCAGAGGCTAAAGGAATCAAGTTCCTCAGTCTTACTAAACAGAGTGGGCATAGTGTTCCAATTCAAACTTCCCCTCCTTGACGTCAAATTCAAGATTAGATTTTAATTTCATAAAATGATAATGTATAATTTCTATAATAAATTTAGTATGTACAGAAAACGTTTGCATCACTGTCTCATATTTTCCACTATAAGCTTTCAAAAGGAGAGTTTTTTCAATGATAGCTGGCTCTTCATTGCATTATTTTTCTGTTTCTCTATTGCCACATAAACCTGCTAACTCAACATTTTGTAGAAAAAAAAAACATTTCAAAATAAAGTCATGTTTTCCAAAGCACTATCCAAATAATAATGTCCTTTAATTTATAAAATAAAAGCACAATAAAATTCAAATTCCTTGTCACTGGCTTTATAAGAAAAGATATACATTTGTGCTATCTTCTTATATCTCTAATGAGCATAGTCCTACTCCTGGGTCTTATTTGAAATCCATTTTTGTTTCTATTTAGTGTGGTTTCTCAGTAGCAGTAAGGGAGGAGACCACCCCTCATATTGTCTTATGTCCAGTTTCTGCCTCCAAAGAAATAAGAAGTGAAAACTAAAAGGCAGAAATGAAATCCACAAGCAGACAGCCCAGCGCCACACCCTGGGCCTGGTAGTTAAAGATGGATCCCTGACCTAATCAGTTATGTTATCTATAGATTACAGACATTGTATAGAAAAGCACTGGGAAAATCCCTGTCCTGTTCTGTTCCATTCTAATTACCTGTGCATGCAGCCCCCAGTCACGTACCCCCGGTTGCTCAATCGATCATGACCCTCTCACGTGGACCCCCTTAGAGTTGTGAGCCCTTAAAAGGGACAGGAATTGCTCACTCAGGGAGCTTGGTTGTTGGAGACATGAGTCTTGCCAAAGCTCCCGGCCCAATAAAGCCCTTCCTTCTTTAACTCGGTGTCTGAGGGGTTTTGTCTGTGGCTTGTCCTGCTACAGTAGCATAAACTATGAAAATAGATTCAGAAAAAAGTGCTATAAAAAATTTATAGTAAGGAAAATCTTAATTGGAAACCATTATAATGTAATACTGCCTTAAAAATTGGCATTCATTCAACCACATATCTCAGTGCATTAATAGAATTACTTTGTCATGATTTGAAAATTCATTATTGAATCATTTTAAAGCTAGTATATAAAATACACAAATGCAGCCTAGAAATAACAGGTTAATATAGTCTTGCTTCAGATGGAACTAATTGTATGTTCAAGTTATTCTCCACAAGAAAAAAAAAAACTGAAGAATTTAATTGAGCATTTGGAATAGCAAAAGAGAAAGTTAAGGTATTTAGGAGTAGACTGCCACAAATAACATTCCACAGCATTAGCATTTATTTGTGCAGCAAACAGTCTCCTATTGAGCTTGACTGACTTAGCTTCTTAAGGCAATCATCTTCCTTTGCTTTAAAAGAGATTTAAACCTGGCTATAGAAAGTATTCCAATCAGGTAACTGCTAATAAAAGACCCAATTCTATAGCTCACATTCCCATGTGTGTACCCCATTGACATCAATATTAAGGTTTTAGATATGAAAATCCCCTATCTTCTTAAGTAACATTTATAAGAATAGCTACCCAATATTCAAAGATTCCTTTTCATATTATAAACCAGTAAAGCATTCCACTAAAAAGCTGTAACGATCACTTTCCAGAAGAAAAATCCATCCTTTGTTGGTAATGGAAGCAACTCAACAGAGAAATGTACATTAATATTTAATATCTGGACTTAAAACTCCTGCCCAAGATCTGAATGGCAAAAAAAAAATTATCAGAAATAACAATTTTGAGAATTTCTTCAATTACAATAAAAATTCCTTTCTAAAAATCCCTAGAAAGAATTCAATGTACTTACTTTCTCAATGAGTCTTCCTGAAAATTGTGTCAAAATAAATTGTGGTAGTCAATTTGTGTTTTGGTGCACATGGATATTGATTTTTGCAGAGATCTCAGGGTAATTCCTTTTGTAAACCAAAAAAAAAAAAAAGTTCTCTATTGCGTGAATAATGATCTGTGAGATTGCCTTGTGAGTTTCAGTCTTTGTAGCACAGGTTTTTCTAAAAGAAGGCTATACTTATAGTCTTCAACACTGTTCACAGATAGATAATGAATTCTGCAGATTATTTAGAACAGCTGGCCAACTGTGGCTTCCCCACCTGAGACCTCAGTAGGTTACTAGGGCATGACAGCCAGGAAAAGCACCAACAGAGACTCAGAACGAAGAATAACGAAATAAACGGCCTTGTTTTTCTAAGCATTTACCTCAATACTTCCCAAAGGTAAATATGATTTATTCTTATAGTTTCTGTTATTTTGAAAAATCTGGTCTAATTTGACCATTCCCACAACCCTTCCAATTAATATTGACAATAGAATAAGCCACACTGTGTCCAATGGCACATGCTTTTTTTCTTAGTCGAGTTATTTATTAGGTTTTAAAAATTTAAAGTATAATATTGAAATTAAATAACTTCTTAATATATTAAATATTACAGAAGTTAAAAGACATTTGTGGGAGATTATGCATAGTTGCTTATAGTACACAATAAAAAGAAAAGTAATTTATAGATTTTTTAACACTAGCTCTTAAGTTTTTGGGGTTTTTTTTAAGAAAATTAATCATATTCTACAGAAAGACTATAAAATATTAGCTCTCCCCAATCCCCACCAACAAAATAGAATAATCTCTTTAGCAACTAGACAGGAATGACAAGACAAATTGATTCTGATTGTTTTCTACCATGGTTTGGACAGAACATGTCATTTCCCCTACTGTATTAAAATTTGTTTCTTTCTTTTAATTTCTTGCAATACACAGAAGAGGCCCTTTATTAGTCCATTTGCATTGCTATAAAGGAATACCTGAGGCTGGGTAATCTATAAAGAAAGGCATTTAATTGGCTCATGGTTCTGCAGGCTGTACAGGGAGCATGACGTCAACATCTGTTCAGCATCTGGTGAGGCCTCAGGGAGCTTTTACTAATAACAGAAGGCAAAGCAGGAACAGGCATGTCACATTATCAGAGGTATTTGAACAAGAGCGACTCCATCTTGAATAAGGGCTGGGTAAAATAAGGCTGAGAACTGCTGGGCTGCATTCCCAGTAGATTAGGCATTTTTAGTCACAAGATGAGACAGGAGATCAGCACAAGATGCAGGTCACAAAGACCTTGCTGATAAAACAGGATGCAGTAAAGAAGTCAGCCAAACTCACCAAAACCAAGAAGGCAATGAAGGTGACCTCTGTTCATCCTCACTGCTCATTATACACTAATTACTATGCATTAGCATGCTAAAAGACACTCCCACCAGCACGACTGTTTACAAATGCCATGGCAACATCCAGAAGTTACCCCATATGGCCCTTCCTGGAGAAGAACAAAGAAATACCAGTAAGTTGTCTTCATCACTTTCTCTATTTCTACCATGGACTATTTATTCTTTCCATAAGATATTAAGATATTTTATCAAAGTTATCTGGGAATAACAATGCTAGGTATACATCTGCAAATTCCATAACCCTATTAAGTTTAAATTATATTAAAATATCATTCAGTAGAATATTGACAACCCACCATCACCCATAAAAGAAATTCTTCATTGTAGAATTCTGAAGCCATGATTAAGCAGGACATGAAACATAAAACAGCTTTTGTTTTTATTGTTCAATGAAGCAAAACTCACAAATGATGACTAGAATATCCTAAGGAAAACTCCCTTCAGTGCAAGGCCATTTCTCTTCAGTTGGTAGCACTTCTTTCCTTCTGTTAACAGATGGCTAGGCTTTAGGCCTTCCTGATGGGCTGGCACTAGCCTTGTCCAACATTTAAAAAGAGACAATATTATTTTGCCTATAAGGACTTATACCAGAATACATACATATATATATACACACACACATATACATATATATGTTATATCTATACACATACATATATATGTTATATCTATACACATACATATATGTTATATATACACATACATACATACTTATACATATATACACATACATATACACATACACATATGTTATATATAATATATATGTTATATATAATATATAACTATATATGTGGATATATATACACATACATATATTTTATATATAATATATTATATATTATATTATATAATATATAATATATATATTATATTATATATATAATATAATATATTATATATATAATATATTATATATATTATATATATATTATATAATATAATATATATATAATATATTATATTATATAATATAATATATATTTTGTATATAATATATATTTTCTATATATAATATAGAAAAAATACATACAAAAATATATAGGAATTGGCCATTCCTATATATACTATAAAAGCTGCATTCTTAGAGCTGCTATTCTAGGAAGTTCACAGAGGCAATACATCTTGGTGTTCCACTGAAGTGCACATGAACACAGATACCAGCAGTTTCCACAAATATACCTCAACATGACGATGCACAAAGCAACCAAGGCAGAGCAAGGCACTACCCAAAACCACATCATCACAGTTCGAATGTTGCATCCTACATTTCTAGATAAGCTTCTTTACTTTCTGGTCCAGATGAAAACAATATTCTTCCATTAGATTTCAAAATGACTGGATTAAGAAAATGTGGCCCATATACACCATGGAATACTATGAAGCCATAAAAAATGATGAGTTCATGTCCTTTGTAGGGACATGGATGAAATTGGAAATCATCATTCTCAGTAAACTATCGCAAGAACAAAAAATCAAACACCGCATTTTCTCACTCATAGGTGGGAACTGAACAATGAGAACACATGGACACAGGAAGGGGAACATCACACTCTGGGGACTGTTGTGGGGTGGGGGGAGGGGGGAGGGATAGCATTGGGAGATATACCTAATGCTAGATGATGAGTTAGTGGGTGCAGCGCACAAGCATGGCACATGTATACATATGTAACTAACCTGCACATTGTGCACATGTACCGTAAAACTTAAAGTATAATAATAATAAATAAATGAATAAATAAAAGAATATATGCGAGGGATTTTGTTTTAAAATTCTACTCAAGAGAAACACAAATCGAAAGTCTATATGAGAGAAAAGAGTGGGATGTTACATATGATGTCACACAAGACGTCATTTTTCACAAATGTTCCATGTGGTAATTCTATGTGAGGGCAATGGTGCCCTTTTAAAATGTTATTAAAAGTCAGAACGCTGCTGATCCAATGGAAATATATTCCCTTTGTACGTTAACTTATTCTCAGTTGACGTCTTCTCCAATCAAGGCAACTTGTTAATCTAGTAATGGGAAATTTAAAGGCACTGTATGTTGCTTAAAATAATGCCTAACAAATTATCCCTGACACATACATTGCATGAGCGCCCCCTAAAATATATGAAGGTTTAGAGCAAGAGAAAAATAAACAGAAACACTGAAAACAAGACCAAATAATCACTCTGCTTCCAGAATCAGGGAAATATATTTTCCACAAAGTCAATGGAACCAGATTGAAAGACCAAATCAGTGGCCTACCCAAGTTGCACCCCTAGAAAAGGGCAGACCTGCCTTCCTGTAAGTAGGTATGTGATGCTTTTCCATCTTCTATCTTTCCCCTGGTTCAGAAATACAAAGTTTTTCTGCATGCAGAAAACTAAGTAGTCATCTTTCTGTCATACCCATTCTCTATCATATGGATAGATATTGGGGGGAAAAAAAGTCATTGTTCTTGCTTGTGTTGCCTACACATCATATCCCATATCGAAATGGAAATTGCAAATATGAAACTACAGAGTAGAAAGCTGTGGGCAGAGGTCAGATGTGGTAATAGTCCTGGGAATCAAAAGATAGTTCAAAACATGAACCCAAGAATAGTAATAAAGCAGATGAGAACTAAACCAGTTAAACTGTGACATGTATACATAATAATAGATTTGGTTACAAAACTGAGTCTAAATATCAATGATAATACTTTTTAAAAATACATGTTATCAACAATTTTTATAAGGACCATTTGGGTTTTAAACTATAGGCTATATAAACAAAGAAACAGAGGAGTGAGAACAATTGCTTAGGTCCCCAACCTTGGAAACATCCTTGGCTTTTTTTCACTTACTCACCATATGTAATTCATTAGCAAACCCTGTTGGTCCTACACACCTTCAAAATCTATCTAGACTCTGAGAACCCCTTTGAAAATGTAAGTCAGATGTTGTCAGTTGCCTTTTCCACATCTTAAAATTGTTTCCCATCTCAGAGTAGAAGTCAAAAGTCCTACAGTGGTCATAAGACTCTATAAAGTTGACCCTTACTTAATTCTCCAGTCTCATTTACTACTCTCCCTCACACTTACTCTGTGATTGGACATGCCAGGGTGCACTTCAGACTCAACATCCTTGTACATAATGTAGTTTTGCCTAGAATGCCCTTCTTGATATCTACATAGCTCTGTCTCATAGCCACTGAGTGCAGTTGTGAGGCTTTCCACATAATTTGCATGAATGGCAGCCTTAAAATTAAGCAGAGTATGTATGACCTGCACAATTGCATGTGGTGATTGATATGGTTTGGCTGTGTCCCCACCCAAATCTCATCTTGAATTCCCATGTGCTCTGAGAGGGACCCAGTGGGAGGTAATTGAATCATGGGGCAGGTCTTTCTCATGCTGCTCTCATGACAGTGAATAAGTCTCACAAGATCTGATGATTTTATAAGGGAGAGTTTCCTTGCACAAGCTCTCTCTCTTCGCATGCTGCCATCCGCATAAGATGTGACTTGCTCCTCCTTGAGGTTCACCATAATTGTGAGTCTTCCCCAGCCACATGGAACTGAACGTCCATTAAACCTCTTTCTTTTGTAAATTGCCCAGTCTCAGGTATGACTTTATCAGCAGTGTGCAAATGGGCTAATAGTGTAAATTGGTACCAGGAGTGGGTGCTATTGAAAATATACCCAGTGGTTCCAAGATGGCTGAATAGGAACAGCTCCAGTCTACAGCTCCCAGCATGAGTGACACAGAAGACAGGTGATTTCTGCATTTCCAGCTGAGCTTTGAAGAGAGTAGTGGTTCTCCCAGCATGGAGTTTGAGATCTGAGAACGGACAGATTGCCTCCTCAAGTGGGTCCCTGACCCCCGAGTAGCCTATCTGGGAGGCACCCCCGAGTAGGGGCAGACTGACACCTCACACGGCCGGGTACCCCTCTGGGACGAAATCTCCAGAGGAACGATCAGACAGCAACATTTGCTGTTCAGCAATATTCGCTGTTCTGCAGCCTCCGCTGTTGGTACCCAGGCAAACAGGGTCTGGAGTGGACCTCCAGCAAACTCCAACAGACCTGCAGGTGAGGGTCCTGACTGTAAGAAGGAAAACTAACAAACAGAAAGGACATCCACACCAAAACCCCATCTGTACGTCACCATCATCAAAGACCAAAGGTAGATAAAACCACAAAGATGGGGCAAAAATAGAACAGAAAAACTGAAAATTCTAAAAATCAGAGCACCTCTCCTCCTCCAAAGGAATGCAGCTCCTCACCAGCAACATAACAAAGCTGGACGGAGAATGACTTTGACAAGTTGAGAGAAGAAGGCTTCAGACGGTCAAATTTCTCCGAGCTAAAGGAGGAAGTTCGAACCCATCGCAAAGAAGTTAAAAACCTTGAAAAAAGATTAGACGAATGGCTAACTAGAATAACCAATGCAGGGAAGTCCTTAAAGGACCTGATGGAGCTGAAAAACATGGCATGAGAACTACGTGACGAATGTACAAGCTTTAGTAGCCGATTTGATCAACTGGAAGAAAGGGTATCAGCGATTGAAGATCAAATGAATGAAATGAAGCAAGAAGAGAAGTTTAGAGAAAAAAGAATAAAAAGAAATGCACAAAACCTCCAAGAAATATGGGACTATGTGAAAAGACCAAATCTACATCTATTGGTGTACCTGAAAGTGACGGGGAGAATGGAACCAAGTTGGAAAACACTCTGCAGGATCCAGGAGAACTTCCCCAATCTAGCAAGGCAGGCCAACATTCAAATTCAGGAAATACAGAGAATGCCACAAAGATACTCCTCAAGAAGAGCAACTCCAAGATACATAATTGTCAGATTCACCAAAGTTGAAATGAAGGAAAAAATGTTAAGGACAGCCAGAGAGAAAGGAGGGGTTACCCACAAAGGGAAGCCCATCAGACTAACAGCTGATCTCTTGGCAGAAACTCTACAAGCCAGAAGACAGTGGGGGCCAATATTCAACATTCTTAAAGAAAAGAATTTTCAACCCAGAATTTCATATCCAGCCAAACTAAGCTTCATAAGTGAAGAAGAAATAAAATACTTTAAAGACAAGCAAATGCTGAGAGATTTTGTCACCACCAGGCCTGCCTTACAAGAGCTCCTGAAGGAAGCACTAAACATGGAAAGGAGCAACCAGTACCAGCCACTGCAAAAACATGCCAAAATGTAAAGACCATCAAGGCTAGGAAAAAACTGCATTAACTAATGAGCAAAATAACCAGCTAACATCATAATGACAAGATCAAATTCACACATAACAATATTAACCTTAAATGTAAATGGGCTAAATGCTCCAATTAAAAGATACAGACTGGCAGATTGGATAAAGAGTCAAGACCCATCAGTGTGCTGTATTCAGGAAACCCATCTCACATGCAGAGACACACATAGGCTCCAAATAAAGGGAGGTAGGAAGATCTACCAAGCAAATGGAAAACAAAAAAAGGCAAGGGTTGCAATCCTAGTCTCTGATAAAACAGACTTTAAACCAACAAAGATCAAAAGAGACAAAGAAGGCCATTACGTAATGGTAAAGGGACCAATTCAACAAGAAGAGCTGACTATCCTAAATATATATGCACCCAATACAGGAGCACCCAGATTCATAAAGCAAGTTCTTAGAGACCTACAAAGAGACTTAGACTCCCACACAATAATAATGGGAGAATTTAACACCCCACTGTCAACATTAGACAGATCAACGAGACAGAAAGTTAACAAGGATATCCAGGAATTGAATTCAGCTCTGCACCAAGCAGACATAATAGACATCTACAGAACTCTCCACCCCAAATCAACAGAATATACATTCTTCTCAGCACCACACCACACCTATTCCAAAACTGACCACATAGTTAGAAGTAAAGCACTCCTCAGCAAATGTAAAAGAACAGAAATTATAACAAACTGTCTCTCAGACCACAGTGCAATCAAATTAGAACTCAGGATTAAGAAACTCACTCAAAACCACTCAACTATATGGAAACTGAAAAACCTGCTCCTGAATGACTACTGGGTACATAATGAAATGAAGGCAGAAATAAAGATGTCCTTTGAAACCAACAAGAACAAAGACACAACATACAAGATCTCTGGGACACATTTAAAGCAGCGTGCAGAGGGAAATTTATAGCACTAAATGCCCACAAGAGAAAGCAGGAAAGATCTAAAATTGACACCCTAACATCACAATTAAAAGTACTAGAAAAGCAAGAGCAAACACATTCAAAAGCTAGCAGAAGGCAAGAAATAACTAAGATCAGAGCAGAACTGAAGGAGATAGAGACACAAAAAACCCTTCAAAACATCAATGAATCCAGGAGCTGATTTTTTGAAAAGATCAACAAAATTGATAGACCGCTAGAAAGATTAATAAAGAAGAAAAGAGAGAAGAATCAAATAGATGCAATAAAAAATGATAAAGGGGATATCACCACCAGTCCCACAGAAATACAAACTACCATCAGAGAATACTACAAACACCTCTACACAAATAAACTAGAAAATCTAGAAGAAATGGATAAATTCCTCAACACATACACCCTCCCAAGACTAAACCAGGAAGAAGTTGAATCCCTGAGTGGACGAATAACAGGCTCTGAATTTGAGGCAATAATTAACAGCTTACCAACCAAAAGAAGTCCAGGACCAGACGGATTCACAGCCGAATTCTACCAGAGGTACAAAGAGGAGCTGGTACCATTCCTTCTGAAACTATTCCAATCAATAGAAAAAGAAGGAATCCTCCCTAACTCATTTTATGAGGCCAGCATCATCCTGATACCAAAGCCTGGCAGAGACACAACAAAAAAAGAGAATTTTAGACCAATATCCCTAATGAACATCGATGCAAAAATCCTCAATAAAATACTGGCAAACCGAATCCAGCAGCACATCAAAAAGCTTATCCACCATGATCAAGTGGGCTTCATCCCTGGGATGCAAGGCTGGTTCAACATATGCAAATCAATAAACATAATCCAGAATATAAAGAGAACCAAAGACAAAAACCACATGATTATCTCAATAGATGCAGAAAAGGCCTTTGACAAAATTCAACAGCCCTTCATGCTAAAAACTCTCAATAAATTAGGTATTGATGGGATGTATCTAACAATAATAAGAGCTATTTATGACAAACCCACAGCCAATATCATACTGAATGGGCAAAAACTGGAAGCATTCCCTTTGAAAACCAGCACAAGACAGGGATGCCCTCTCTCATCACTGCTATTCAACATAGTGTTGGAATTTCTGGCCAGGGCAATCAGGCAGGAGAAAGAAATAAAGGGTATTCAATTAGGAAAAGAGGAAGTCAAATTGTCCCTGTTTGCAGATGATGTGATTGTATATCTAGAAAACTCCATCATCTCAGCCCAAAATCTCCTTAAGCTGATAAGCAACTTCAGCAAAGTCTCAGGATACAAAATCTATGTGCAAAAATCACAAGCATTCTTATACACCAATAACAGACAGAGAGCCAAATCATGAGTGAACTCCCATTCACAATTGCCTCAAAGAGAATAAAATACCTAGGAATCCAACTTACAAGGGATGTGAAGGACCTCTTCAAGGAGAACTACAAACCACTGTTCAATGAAATAAAAGAGGATACAAACAAATGGAAGAACATTCCATGCTCATGGGTAGGGAGAATCAATATCATGAAAATGGCCATACTGCCCAAGGTAATTTATAGATTCAATGCCATCCCCATCAAGCTACCAATGACTTTCTTCACAGAATTGGAAAAAACTACTTTAAAGTTCATATGGAACCAAAAAAGAGCCCAGGCCAGGCCCAGGGTCCCCATGCTGTGTGCAGCCTAGAAACTTGGTGCCCTGTGTCACAGGCATGGCTGAAAGGGAACAACACAGAGCTCAGGCCACAGCTTCAGAGGGGGCAAGCCTCAAGCCTTGGCAGCTTCCATGTGGTGTTGAGCCTGCAAGTGCACAGAAGTCAAGAATTGAGGTTTGGGAACCTCTGCCTAGATTTCAGAAGATGTATGGAAATGCCTGGATGCCCAGGCAGAAGTTTGCTGTAGGGGCAGGATCCTCATGGAGAACCTCTGCTTGGATAGTGCAGAAGGGAAATGTGGGGTGGGAGCCCCCATGCAGAGTCCTTACTGGGGCACTGCCTAGTGAATCTGTGAGAAAAGGGCCACCATCACCCAGACCCCAGAATGGAGGATCCACTGACAGCCTGCAAAAGCCACAGACACTCAATGCCAGCCTGTGACAGCAGCCAGGAGCGGGGCTATACCCTACAAAGCCACAGGAGCAGAGCTGCCCAAGGCCTTGGAGCCTACCTCTTGCATCAGCGTTACCTGGATGTGAGGCATAGAGTCAACGGATATCATTTTGGGGCTTTAAGATTTGACTGCCTTACTGGATTTTGGACTTGCATGGGGCCTGTAGCCCCTTTGTTGTGGCCAATTTCTCTTATTTGGAATGGCTGTATTTACCCAATGCCTGTATCCCCATTGCATCTAGGAAGTAACTAATTTGCTTTTGATTTTACAGGCTCTTGTCTCAGATGAGACTTTGGACTGTGAACTTTTGAGTTAATTCTGAAATGAGTTAAGACTTTGCGGGGCTGAAGGGAAGGCATGATTGGTTTTGAAATGTGAGGACATAAGATTTGGGAGGGGCAGGGGCAGAATAATATGGTTTGGCTGTGTCCCCACCCAAATCTCTTCTTGAATTCCCATGTGTCATGGGAGGCACCTGGTGGGAGGCAATTGAATCATGGGAGCAGGTCTTTCCTGTGCTGTTCTCATGATGGTGAATAAGTCTCACGAGATCTGATGGTTTTATAAGGGGGAGTTTCCCTGCATAAGCTTTCTCTCTTTGCCTGCTGCCATCCATGTAAGACCTGACATGCTCCTCCTTGCTCTCCAACATGATTGTGAGTCTTCCCCAGTCACATGGAACTGTAAGTCCCTTAAGCCACTTTCTTTTGTAAATTGCCCAGTCTCAGGTATGTCTTTATCAGCAGCATGAAAACGGACTAATACTATGGTCCTACTCAGTCTCTCATCTCTAGGTCTTTGTTCAAAGTTACCTTCTCAGGAAAACATCCCTTGACCATCCTATTAAAAATGAAATATTTATGATAAATGTTCAAGGTAATGGATAGCCCAGCTAACCTGATATAATCATTATACATTGCATGCAGTTATCAAAATATCACATGTACCCCCAAAATATGTACAAATATTATAGATCAATCAAAATATGTTTAATGCAAAACTTATCCAGAAATTCCCATCCCCCTTATATGCCTCATTTTCCCCATAACATTTATTCGACACACTACGATATTTCATTTAAGATGTCACTAATTACAAGGCTTACCATTTTAAAAATATTATACCAAAGAAGACATGTCCAACTAAACTATGATATATCATCAGTTATTAAGAGGCATCCTTATCTCAAAGATGATAAGTTGTGGCCAAAAAAAAATGTATTTCTTTAAATCCATGAAAGTTTGTTTTATTTACCTGTTTTATTACTTTGTTTTATTTCCTGTTTCCCCCATTAGAATTAAGCTCCAAGAAGGTAAGGACTTTTATCTTTATTTTTTACAACTTTAACAGTGCCTAGAGAAATATGATATGTATCAACAATTATTTTTTGATTAAATGAATGAAAGTAAGTAAAAGTGGTTTGAAGTCCCCATTTTTCATAGGGAAAAATTAAAAGATTTACTTCAAACATTTATAATTGTCTATAAATAGAAATTGAATAATTGGTTTAGGTAACATACTATGTAATTCAAGATTTAGATGATTAAAAGGCACAATACTCCATAAAGATTTGAAAATAATGAACCTTAACAGACTGCATGGTATAACCCCATACACACACACACACACACACACACACACACACACACACACACAAGTAGTTGAAATACGAGAAAAAAAGACAAAAATACAGTTGTTGAGAGAGACTTTTTAAAATATACTTCTTTCTACCTTTGATATATTAAAAAAGATAGAAAATAAATAATACAATTAATTGGCTCGAACAAATAGTTATAGAGTTAACCATGTAAAAATCTTTATTTTCAAATGTCAAGGTGATATATTTTTTAATGTTCATATTCTTGTCAGTCACAAAATATAGTCTAAATAGTTAAACTACATAGCAAAAGTCTGAAAACAAAATAAATAAGGCAACAAAAAGAATGACAGAAAGGAAGAAATATATCAGATATATATATATAAATAGTTTAAATTTCTTGAATATTATATCTACTATTTGTAGATAATGAATCTTTTTTCCTCCTTCAATGAGAGTAGGTTTTATGATTTGTCCCTTTTTATCTTTTATTTTTTTTACTGTCACTTATTTTTTATCACTTATTATGTTTTCATCTTTTATTATTATAACATACATTTATTATTGAATTAACTTAGAAATATATAATATATGCTAACTAAAAATGTCCAGTACATGCTAACATAAGACATACAAAAGAGAAAGACACAGAAAACTTGCAAATGAAAACCTGAAGAAAATAAATAAGAAAAACAAAGAATAACAACAAAGATAACAATAAAACAAACCAGTGGAGAGCAGAATTTTTAAAAAGTAAAACTAAAAGCAGAAATAAATTATTCAAAATACAGCAGAACAATAGGATAAAAATTAGAGTCTAAGAGCTGATACTCGGATGAGAGGAATTGAACAGATAAATCTGTTCATTCTAAAATTTAAAAGGGAAAGGAAATAAACAAGGAGAAATTGAAGGGAAATAGAAAGCTAAACAGACCAGATTGCTGGAAGGGAGGGTGGCAAGTGGACTGATGCTAAAGCCATGGCTGATCTTGGAGCCTTTCCTAATCTTGAAACCAAGAGGTTCAGGTGTTAGTGGCCACTGGAGCAACAGGAAACAAGAAAGGCCTTGTGACCTGGCAAGGCAGGAGTTGCAGCTGGGACCACATCACAGACCTGGGAAGGCTATTTGATTTTATGCAACATGTGTCATCCCAGAAACCCCAAACCAACACATTAGCTTAAAGTGGTCCCAGAATGAAAAAAGGCTGAGCTTCCTGACAAAGGCAAGTCTTAATCTTCCATGTAGGATGGCTTCCTCCCAAGATTCTCACATACAAAGTCCCAGTAACCATGACTTCACAATCCAAACTTGCAAAATACATGAAAAAACAAGACTCACCCAGACAAGGGTCAACAGAAACAACAGCACCATACGGAATTAGACTGCCAAGAATTTCAGATATCAGAATTACTGGATATAAACTATGAAATAACTATGTTTGAAATAGGTCAGGAATAAAAGATAGAACAGCAAACAAGACAAAAGAACAAAAGATCACCTTATTTTTTAACATTATGGCAGATTCCATACACTAAATGATCCACTGATTGAAACAACTAAATGCTGGATACAATATAAAGAAAATATTTGAGCACATTCTCGCACTAGCACAAAAGCAAAGAATCTGCAGGTCTTCAAAACTCATTGAACATTGAAACCCTACAAGGAGAGTGACACCAAAACCAGCAGCTATTGCCCTGAAGATTTCTGCTGTTCCTCTAGACAAGCTGTGATTTCACTTCAATTCTGCGTGAGATTATCTGAGAACACAAGGTAGAGTCTTGGGCCTCTCGGAGTTAGGAACCTAGTAAATGATCCTAGGAAAACTTCTATTCCACAGGCTGCGCTTCAGTGTCATAATGAATTAGAAATAAACCCTTAATTCCAACTCAACTGCATGTCTTATTTTTACATTTTTCTTTATAGATTTTGTTCTTATATTTTACTTCATCTTTAAAATTGTCCAAATGAGAATACCTTTATTTTATAATTTAAAAAAGTATTTAACGTAATAAAGTTGTATGAAAGTTCTGATGAAAGAGATAGTAGAGCAGACATTTATAGTCGTTGCCTGTCGCTTTTCTCCCTTCTCTGGGTTACAGCCACAGGTTTTCCTTCAGGAGCTCTCCTCCTCCATTTCTAGTTTAACAGTTTGGGTGGAGATGACTGCCATCCCCAGTGCTTACAACAATCACAGCCAATTTAAAGTTGTCCAAGGCATTGGCCGAGGCAACCAATAGAGAGACACTCACTTTTGCCAAGGAAACAGGATGTAAATTCATTCGGAGCCACCGTAAGTCGCCTTGTACCACAGGGAGGGAAAGGCCTCCTGAAAATGGAGTCAGTGCAGAGAAAAGAACTAAGAGGTGGAGAAAGACGTAACATCATTTGCACCCCTGATTCCTGTTGTGTCTAAATAAGGACATATCTGGACAGCTCAGTTATGTATGTCAAAAAATTCTCCTGAATTCCCTAAAACAGTGTGAGCTGGGTTTTCTGTCACAGCACTTATCTGCAGCTGATACACACCCATACGGCCATGACCTTTGATTGTGGGACATCCTGATGAAGCAGTGCCTGATCCAGCAACCATTCAGATTGGTTACTACCCATATTATTCTGATTGTTAAAATATTTTAAACATAGCCTTTTCTTTTTATCAAAAGAGTTTGAATAATAAATTAGTGTTTAGAAACATAACTACATCAAGAGCAAGGGTAATGTTTCAGTGGACAAGAAGAGATTACACAAGGGCAAAAATTAAATCCATCTACAAAGATGTAGCTCGACAAACAGGTATTTTACCATCAAGCTATGAAAAGACACCAAGCCACCATCTCAGCCTGAGCAAATCATTTTGCCTCTTGGAGTATGTTTCCTCTTCTGTATTGAATGGGCATAAAAAATGACTGCCTTGCTCATCTTATAACACCGTAAGTATTAAATCAGTTACGACCTATAAAAACACAGTCTGCGTAAACTATTCTATGTGAGGAAATAAACGCAAGAGAATGCTTCATAAATGTAAAGTATTATTATTCTGTTTAATTCTTCCATCTGATGGTTAGGTTATTTGTACTCCCTGTGTGTTGAAAGTTCAGTATCAACTCAGTTGCCACATTAAAAAAGAGGTACCTTATCATTATAGATGACAATAGCATTTGAATGCTTATTATCCTTAAAATCATTTCTATTGTAATTTTGTTTATGTATTTTCTTACTTGTTATCTCTTCTCATTATTCTCTGTAACACCAATCAGGAAAGTATAAAAGTTTACTTCTACCACCATCCTCCTTTTAAAAACATCCAAATCCTCTAAGCCACAATATGTTTTAACTTTGTTACATTGAATAAGGAGACTTCTTTTTTATGCTTTAATTTTTACGGTTACTTGGCTATTCTTTGAGTAAAAAGGACATTTGTATTTTTCTTAAAATGTGACTTATTTTTGTAGACATTTTGAAATATACACATAAAATATATAAAAAGGTTTATGATCACAATATCCAGAAATGATGAATAAATTTTTAAATTTTTAATTAAAGGGATATTGAATGGGCTATCTATGTTGTAAAATATTTTCCATATTTAAAACATCTTTCTATATTAAGTGCTACTACAAGGGAGTCTCTGAGTCATGTCTTAATATAGCATTGATTACCATCATTGTTTTCACTTTATTTAGCCCACAGGATATCTCATTCTAGGAAATAAACTAGGTTTTATATCAAAGGATCAGTCACACTAGACTGTCTCTAAGTATACACCAGAGCCAAACAGGTGATATAAAAGTATGAACAGGGACAGATGTAAGGTAAGAGGCACTAAGTGGTTGTATTTTGACCAGCCATTACACTTGCCAAATTATAAAGCCTTATTACAACTTCAGGAGGTTCAAAAAAACAAAGCAAATATAGCAGGGCTCCTAGCAGTTTTCAGCCCCCAAACTGGCAATTTGAGACTTTAATAATCCTTACTAATTGCGAATTTACCCCATAAAAAATGCAGAAGAATAAAAAGACCAATAATTCTTTAACCTACTTTGCCTAAGAAACAATTTATTACTTTTGCTTTACTAATGATAAAATGAGGGAATCTGAATACCAGTAACTTTATGCTGTGCTTCCTTTTGAATAAGAAGCGTAAGTATACTGTCAGTGAAATTCACTAATAGAGAAAGTTCCAGCGGGACCAATCTATAGTTCTGCAAGCCTAGATTTTTCAAACATCTTTGAATATTGTATGGCCACCGTGTCTTTCTAACGTAATATTCATTATTTTTTATTTTTTTAAAAATGACAAATAATAATAGTACATATTCATGGAGTACATAGTGATGTGTCAATACATATAATATATACTGATCAGATCAGGGTAATCAGCATACCTATCATTTCAAACTTTTATCATTTCTTTGTGCTGGGACTATTCAATATCCTCCTTCTAGCCATTTGAAGCTATAGAATACATTATTTTTAACTATACTCATCCTACAGCACTATAGAACACTAGAACTTATTCCTCCTATCTAGCTGTAATTTTGCACCCTTCAAAGAAATATCTCCCTATTCCTCCCTTCCCCCTACCTTTACCAGCCTCTAGTATCCTCTGTTCTACTTTTTACTTCTATGCAATGAACTTTTTTTAACTTTCACAGATGAGTGAGAACATGTGGTGTTTAACTTTCTGTTCCTGGCTTATTTCACTTAACATAATGTACCCCATTTCCATCCATGTTGCAACAAATGACAGAATTTCATTCTTTCATATGGCTGAATAGTATTCCATTGTGATTATATATCACATTTTCTTTATCTATTCATCTGCTGTTGGGCACCTACGTTGAATCCATATCTTGGCTATTGTGAATAGTGCTGCAATAAACACAGGGGTGCAGTTGTTTCTTCAATATAATGATTTACTTTCCTTTGGATGAATTCCCAGTAGTGGAATTACTGGATCATATGGTTAGTTCTATTTTTCGTTTTTTGGGCAACCTCCATACTGCTCTCTATAGTGGCTGTACTAGTTTACATTAACAATGACAGTTTATAAGAGTTCCCTTTTCTCCACATTCTTGTCAGCATTTGTTACTTTTTGTCTTTTTGATAATAGCTATCTTAACTGGGATGAGATGATACCTCGTTGTGGTTTTGATTTGCATTTCCCCAATGATTAGTGATATTGAGCATTCGTTCATATATTTGTTAGCCATTTGTATGTCTTCTTTTGAGAAATGTCTGTTCAGATCATTTGCCCATTTTTTAATCACCTTGCTTTTTTGCTGTTGAACATATTAGATATGTAGACATGTATAGTATCTACATACTAATTATGTCAGCTTAGTAGTTTACGAATATGTTCTCCCCTTCTGGAGGTTGTCTTTTCACTCTGTTGATTGTTTCCTTTGCTGTGCAGAGATTTTTAGCTTGATATAATCTCATTTGTTTATTGTTGCTTTTGTTGCCTGTGCTTTTGAGGTCTTATTCATATAATATTTTCCCAGACCAATGTCCTGAACCATTTCCCTTATGTTTTCTTTTAGGAGTTTTATTGTTTCAGGTCTTACATTTAGGTCTAGAAATTAGAATTGCCCTGCCATTTACTATGTAGACTTGGGCCACTTACTTAGCTTATTTATGCCTCAGTTTTCCCACTTGCCAATTGAGAGAGTTGGATAAGATGATCCCTTTCCACTCTAAAATGGACACAATTCTATGATACTGTTTGAGTCATTAAATCGATATGGTTGACACTATTAAATATCCATACTATGCAATTTCAACTGAGCCCTCATTGCTGCTCAGTAATCCTTGTATGCACGTGTTAGTACATTTCTTCACAGTAATAAAGCCTCATCAATCTCCTCAAGTTCCCATCCCATCCTACTACCCACATTGGGCAAATGTGGATCCAAACTAATGAATACTTCAAGTAGACACAGACCAGCCATTAACAAATGGTTTGCAAGAAGCAAGTGTTATCATGATGATACCTTTTAAGACCGTTTTGGTAGAGCCACTTCATGAGCACTGATGATGAACATTGCCATTTGGAATGCAATGCCATTTCTGTATTTTGATTCATCTGTTATTTATTTCACATGCATCTGTTTGAAGACCAAAAGTTGGAAATATACATAAATGCCACAAATACCCACAAAAGTCAATAGTGTACCTATTGTGTTAATTAAATTCCACCCCCTTATTTGGCTCTTCTAAGAAATTGCTAAATGACCTAAGTGTTAAAATTAAATGGTTGGTCCTGACAGTAGGGCCATTTCACAGTAACAGTGAAATAGAATATGTTAAAATTAGAATAAGCTTAAAAAATAATTATACACTCTGACCAAGGTGGGAAATTCACTGAAATATCTGCCAAAGGAAAATGGAAAGTTCTAAGATACCAGATGTCTCTGTGGGTTCCAAATTTGGAATTCTCTGTCGCCTTTAAAATCTTCCTTCAGAAGTATCCAGCCTTACAATGCAAGTGGTTTGGCATATGGGTTGTTATTTTGCATTTCTAGACTCTGAGTCTGCCTTTTCAATCAGTATCTAAGCTATTTTACTCGGTTCTATGGTATCTTGGGGTATATGGCTTTTAAGAAAATGAAGCAAATTAAAAAAAAATGACTTGTTGTCTCCGCCTTCATTTCATTATAAAGATCTGCCAGACAAGACTTCAGGCCCAAGGAAGCATAACTGTTATCTTTCTTTCCTTTCTGGAGGTATTTTTGAGTGCTTCCTTTGTGGAGTAATAGGGGATACAGATGGGCCCTCCCCATATTACAAGAGCTTTAATTTTTAAAAATATTAAGTTAAATTTTTATAGTGGGCAATTTGGGCTCTTCCTCTATAGTCATATTTCTCTCTTCAACACTAGCCACTTTCTGAACCTCCCTATTGTGAACCAATTGACACCTGTATTGGATTTTAGATGATCAAGACAATGGGGCAATTTATTGTGACAATTACTCATTTAGCAATTATTGCTAAATTAAAGATGACTAAAAATGGGAGAAGAAAGAAAAATTAAACTCCACATAAAAAGACCTCTAATATTAAAAAAAAACTAAAAGAAGCAACTGTTTCAAAACTGAGAAATTAATTTCATTAACTTCATTTTTCTTCATCTTGGATTGCAGGAGTATTCAATATTGTTCATTATCTGTAACAACAATATTATTTTGAGGGTAAATTTCTGACTTGTAAACATCACCTAGTATGCTCAAACATGAACATAAATAACACCAGTTTATCTGCATTTTCAATTGTTTTCAAATCAGTTGTTAAGTGTAAATAAAGTCTAAATGAATAGTTGCATACCTTCCAACATATAAATTATGTAAAATGTCTAAAAACTACCCCCTTTCTTCTGTGAAGAAACTAGTACAAAAATTGAGTTTAAAACATACTAAAATACTATTCTAGAAATAGTGACACACCTTTGGTGAAAAATAACTTCCATAATGAAAAACCCATTCTGAAAGAACCATTATACACATTAGTTAAACATTTATGGGAGAGGTAGAACAGCCAGCAGCGTATTTAATAGCAGAAACAAGGGAACATAGATGCCATACATCACAAGCTATCCTCTGGCAGAGGCTTATGGGTCCAGAAATTAGAGAAGATAAGCAACAGACTTGTATCTCCTTTTATTTCGTACCCAGATAAAAGCAACCATAGTGGAGGGAAAAAAGGATAAAGGCATTTTTTTCTTTTTTCTTTTTTCTTTTTTTTTTCTCTTGAGATGGAATCTCACTCTGTTGCCCAGGTTGGAGTGCTGTGGTGCTATCTTGGCTCACTGTAACCTCTGCCTTCCAGGTCCAAACGATTCTCCTACCTCAGCCTCCCAAGTAGCTGGGACTACAGGCACCCACCACCACGCCAGGCTAATTTTGGTGTTTTTAGTAGAGATGGGGGTTTCGCCATGTTGGCCAGGCTGGTCTCAAATTCCTGACCTCAGGTGATCCACCCGCCTTGGCCTCCCAAAGTGCTGGGATTACAGGCGTGAGCCACGGTACTCAGCCCAATAAAGGCATATTTTGAAGCTGGAACCTCTTAGGTTTAAAATTTAAAAATAGCTGGAGAAGCACAGAAATATGAAGCTGTGAATTATATGTGACAAACCTTGGGATGGTAAGTTAGACCTAGTCACAAGAAATAAGCTGCCTTTCTCTATGAATCGATGATTGGGAGGTTTTTTGCTTGGAGGGCTAGAACCCAAGGTGAAGCAAGAGTCAGGTTCTGAGGATGCCCACTGCAGAGTCACAGGAGACTGAGGGAGATGTCATGGAAGTCACAGCCTGGGAAATTGGAAAACTTAATTGCGCAACAGCCTTTCCCGCTTTTCCTGCCAATGTTGTAGCGTGGAAGGGAGTCGATGTGCCCAGCCTGTAAAGATGACTCCTGGTTTGTCTAAGCAAATCATAGCAGCCCTATCCTTTGCTAGTTAATCATTTTTTGCCAGTATTCCAGGCAGCTATGAGAGTAGAGGAACATGTGACCCAATTCTTGCCTATGAGCCACAAAAGGAAGTCTAATAAGGATCTTCTGGGAAAGACTTGTTTTCCTAACACACACACAAAAGCCCTTTTCCTCCAGGTATTCACTGAATCAAACACGGTGGCCAGAGGCCGTAATGCTTCCTCAGTGCCACTTTGTAACTTGAAGACTAAAACATAAAAAAACTGAAGATGAGAGAGCAGAAAGATAGAAAAGTGCTGGTTCCTTGATATGAACTTTGGGTTTCTGTACCAAATCTAGAACCATCTACTCTAAGATTTCTCACTCTGTGAGAAGTGAGAAGTCCTTTATTTTAAAATTAAAAATCTTTATTTTAGAAGTCTCTGTTAGTTGAGAATTGTATTACTTGCTGCTGAATGAGTCTTACCTGATACAGACCTTGATTGTAAAACTACAATCATCCCATGATTTATGGAGGGTTATAGCCCACTTTGTCAGGGCTACCATGGAAAAGAGACAAACCAAGAGATTAGTTCTGCTGGTCAACAGAGAAGAGGGAAGCCATGCTCAGAGGTACATCTCTATGCTCTTTCTACCTCTAGTAATAAAGTTTCCCACAATCAAGTGTGAGAGGACACATGTTCTTCATTAATAGCAGTAATACTGGAGATAAAAAAAAAAAAAAAAACACACTGGTAAACAGTCAACCAACTCCTCAATCAGTTCTTTGTCTTGCCTATGACATTTTGTTTCATTTGGCATTCATATCAATAAGTTTATTAGAAACAGACACTTTACTTCCAAGAGACAACAGGGAATTCAGTGATGCATAGAAATTCATCAAATTTTGCTTTATGTGTATTTAACCTCAGATATGTTTATGGTTTTATTTAAATATGTGTTTATGTATATATATACACATGCACAGATTGTATTTAAAAATAGGAGTTAAATTTTAAATTCCCCTTAGATTCTAAATTTCTCAAACTCAGCAAGAGTCCACAGTGCAACACACTTACTGGGGAACTAATATCACTTGACAAAAAGAGAACTTTCAAAATTCAATAAATACTTGTTTCATGCAGCAGACACATTGTATTAGCTAGATCTTACATAACTTCTTACTCCTAAAGTCAGAATAACTTTTTGTGTTTCCCTAAATATCTGAAGAAGCAAATAAAAGGGTAATGTTAATAAAAATGTAATTATAAATGCAATAAAGATGTAATTATTTGCCTAACTTGAAGCTTCATTTTTATCATCCGTCCTCTATTCCTAGCTTTGATTGTGCTATTGATTTGGGATATAAATTTTCTTAGCTCTTCCTATCTCTGCAAAGTCTACACTAATCCCCAACGCTGGTCTTTATCTTTTGCTTTTATTATGAGCACAAAAAAATAGGCTGAAGCATCTCTTTTTAGAAGGAGAAAAAGTTATCACACTTGCATAACTCATGCAGTTGAAACAGCCTGAAATCAACAGTCCCCAGAAAAGCATCTTTGAAAAGACACTAAGCCTGAAAATCAGTAACTGCAAGAAGTACTTTGAAAAGACTAGTAAGGAAACACTCCTGCGAAACTGTACTGGAGAGATAAAAATACCTAGAATGAGAAGACATTCACTTTGCAAACTTACTTTATGGTTTTTAAAATTGTGTATGTCTGAGTTTGGGGTTTATAAAAAATCCCTAAAATTTTCTTAGGATTACAGATGTTTGAAGCTCCCAAATTTGTTATGCAACTCTTGGAAGGAAAATTAGATTTCCAGAATAGCTTTCTTACTGAACAAAACACTAGGATAATTATTCAGTTTGCAGAAGAAATAAGAAGGATTGTGTATATCTAAGTCCCCCCCCCCCAAAAAAGGGTAAAGGAAAGGTCTGGAGACAGGATCAAAATGCACAGTTAAAGAAGCGCCCATTACACTGGGTTTGGAGGAGCAGGGAGAGTAAACATGTAGATAATAGGAGGGGCCGAGGGGAAGAGGAGATTTAGGGAGACTGAATAAGACATTCCAAAGAGGGTTTTCTCTCTAACAAGAAGATGTCCTGACAAAGTTAGAACTTAGTTGTGTGTGTGTCTCTCTCCTTACACACTCACAACACACACACACACACACACACACACACACACAGAGGCATGGATAACCCTGTCCTATAAACCCTCTAGGATCTGGCCTGGGACAAAGATGGCCTTCCAGCATGTGTGTGGGCAGATAAGTGGAGCCAAGATTTGTGGACGTGAGTGTTCCTGAGAAAGCACGATTAGTCTCATGGGTTCCCCTGGGATAAGGCCTGGAGCATGTCACTGAATGTTGGCAGTTATCTCCTTTACATTCCCACACAACCCTCTCAAACCTGTGGGAATTTCATTTTCCCGTTTTCTCTCTTTCTTATCTGGAAAATATTGGGATATCTGTGTTCACTTCCTATGGCCTCTCTCATCCTGGGGCTGAGCTAGGTTTTGCTGCTCTTTCCTTTGGCACAGGCCTGTAAGGTATATCCTCATCTCTCCCTCCTTCCCTCTGCTGGTAGTTGTTTATGACACAGAGCTCCTTTTTATCTTCTTTGCTGAAAATAAGTAATGGCCTAAATTTTCATATGATGTCAATGAAATAGCATGTAAAGCTCTGAGCTCTCACCACCCAGAGTCTAGGACAATTTGGGTGGGCTCAGATATGAATACAAACCAGGTGAACTTCAATAGTTTCAGCTAATCTAAACAATGCCTGGTCCTTGGAGTTTTTGGGATGCTGGAATGGTCACTAGCTGTGGGCCAAGGTGCATCACTGAGTGCCCTTGGCCGAAACAAATTCTGCCTAACTTAAACACAGGAAATGTATTAGAAGAATATGGGAGCGAATTAATATATTCATAGAACTGACAGAAAGTCAGAGGTACAGGCTCTGTTCTGGACAGGAAAGGGAGTATGGAGGGCCGAGAAAGAGAAACTTTAGCAGTGGCTTCATATTATGGACATTCACGTCATCATACCACTGCTGCAATGAGTGAACGCCAAGGTCACTCCTGTGTTTAGTTCAATTACTGAAGATTCAAAAGACCAGTAAAGACCTTGCGACTGGTTGAACAGAGGTTGTATGCCTTCTTCAGAGTCTCTAGTCCCATTGAGCTCTCTGGTAAGAGGCACCCACCTAGACTCTTCTGCCCTGCAAAGCTACACAAATGAGAGAGAGATGGTGCCCCCAAAACATTACGATGCTGTTGAGAGTTGTAAAGGGATACTGGGCAGCCAAAAATTATACAGGCACACTACAGAAAGGTTCCTGTTTCCTAAAGTTGCACAGTGTCTGATACATGGTAGGTGTTTAATATATATTGTTGAATGTTGAATAAATAGAATAAGCCAGCCTCTGAGAGGTGCTGATGAAAAATGATCCTGAACCAGATCATCCAAGCAATTATTAATTCTCAGAATCAATCCTGCCTGGAGCTCAGTCTGAAGGGATGACAAATTGATCCCTGATGGCAGGAAGGTGTTGGGCAGAATGTGGATTAAAGGAAAAAGTGGAGACCAATTCCCTTCTCTCTGTATGTGTCTCTTTCCCCCTTTCTCTGTCTCTCTCTCTCTCTCTTTCTGTCTCACTCTGTCATATCCTACTTTAATTACCTGCTTTTAAGACAGAAAAGAGTGTAAGTGTGATTTACTATGGATTATTACAATATCACAGGGATTAAAAAAAGATCATAGCACAATTAGTGCAGAAGAGCTGAGAAGAATTATTCACATACTTAAAACATCCATTTGGGGGACTGGCTTTTCAATAAGTATTTCTATAAATGTTGAAACAAATGGTTGAATGAAATTTTGTCAACAAGAATCAATACTAGTCATCTTTGATTCCTAAGCAATGCTATAATCACCACTAATAATGGGTGAAGAAAACAAAAGTGAAAAATGCAATTATAATTATTGCATTTCAATTATCTTTAATGGTAATAAATGTTTAATTCTAACATAATTTAGAGAATTATTTTGACCCTTACTATGATCAAAATTGACCCATCTATAAGCAACTGATGAAAATGAATAATAGAAATTGGAAACTTGAATATAAATTTCTTAAAACTTCAGAATATACAATGTCACCATATGGCTATATGTATCTTCTGTCTCCTTCAGAACTAAACTCACCTGTTCACTCAGCTTTTATAGTCCTTATTTCAATTCCATTCAACAAGATTTATTGAGTGACATTTGGAACAGGGTGCTATGTTAGGCAGAACAAGACACACCAGGGAGAATAAGAGAAATTCTCTGTCCTGCAAGAGCTTATGATCTGATAGGGTGGATGAGGCAAGTACAATGATACAAGGCAAATGAGTGAGATACAAAGTTGTCTTCAACTGTATAAAGGACAACTCTGTATAAAAGGAGAGAATATGTTTTCAAAATTGGCCAGTCTGCCATGATATATACAAACCTATCCATTGGCCAGTTGGTTGGGAAATACCTGTAATTAGAAGCAATTTGGTCATTGTCCCTGAGAAAATTCTGGTTTTATATCTCTGTAAAGTTGAAGAAAATAATACTACAGTCTCTCTGTTGCACAGGCTTATTCTCTGGATGAGTTGTGTAATATTTTAAAAGGCTCAACTTTCAGGGGGGATGTTACTAAAATGAAATTTGATTAGCCAGTCTAACCCTTTAGGGTAATTAAAAATGTTATGAGTGTTTGTATTTAAAAATCATCATTGGATTGGGACTACTAACCTATATTCTCCATAAACTTTGTAAAGTACACTGTAACCATAAATAAAATAGAGTTTTCTCCCAGATGCAGAATAAATGAGCAGAATTTGTGGTACACATAAAGGCTGGCCCATGCCCTGAGTGACCTCTGGTCTCCTTCAGATGCAGAAAAGGAATATTAACCTGAAGAATTACTAAGTGTCTTGGAAATGAAGACTACTACATCTTAGTATATCAATGTTGATTAAAAGAGTTGGTTTGGGGTCGATGACAAGAATTCGATAGTTAAATAGAAGTTGATTGAAAGAAATTGGAAGGAAGAAAATAAAAGAAAAACAATCAAGGGAGTTATGACAACAGGCGGGTAGTGTAGGGGATGTGATAGCCATCTTCAAATGTATAAAAGGCAGTTATGATCCTAGAAGGCAGAACTTGGACAAAGAATATCTGGAGATAAGAAGATGTAATTTTGGTTAGCTAGAAGAAAACACTTCTAGCCATTATAATTTCACAAATTAGAGTGTGCTATCTTAGATAGTAATAGTTGTCCATCACTATCAGTGCTCAAATTGAGTCTGAGCAACATCATCTTTATTATTTTCTTTACCATCATCATTACCGTCATCACCATTGTCATCATCAACCATTTATTGAATATCTCACCATTTGTCAGGCCCCATACTAAGTGCTTTACATGCATTATCTCATGTGATCCTCATCACAACCTTATGTGGCATATTATTATTTACATTTTAGAGGGAAGAACCTGGGGCATGGAGAATATAAATAATTTTCCCAAGGTCACACAGGTAGTAAGTAGCTAAACAGGGATTTAAGTTCAATTCTGACTCCCAAGTCTATTTTATTATACATTCTTTCATTGGAGATGGTGTTTAAAAGATTTAAGTACGTCTTTATTTTTTAAGGGACAGGTAAAATCAACTACCTTTTTTTTTTTTTTTTTTTTGAGACGGAGTCTCGCTGTCGCCCAGGCTGGAGTGCAGTGGCGCAATCTCGGCTCACTGCACACTCCGCCCCCCGGGGTTCACGCCATTCTCCTGCCTCAGCCTCCCGAGTAGCTGGGACTACAGGCGCCCGCCACCTTGCCCGGCTAATTTTTTGTATTTTTAGTAGGGACGGGGTTTCACCGTGTTAGCCAGGATGGTCTTGATCTCCTGACCTTATGATCCGCCCGCCTCGGCCTCCCAAAGTGCTGGGATTACAGGCGTGAGCCACAGCGCCCGGCCAAAATCAACTATCTTATATTGTTGATGTTTATCTTTTCAAACCTGGAGCTTCTACAACTCTACGAATATAAAGCAAAGATAAATTAAATGATGTGTAACTGCTACTGAGCTAGTTACTGATAGAACTGTGTCTAGAACCTACTTCAAGGATCTCAACCAGTCTAGTGCTCTTTTCACAATATCATTCTGCCTTCCAAGTACAGGTTAAGTGTAGAGAGAAGAAAAGAGTAAACACAGGAAATTCTCTCCAGCCGATGCTGACAACAAACAGAACTAACAGAAAGGGCATTTTCTGCCAATGGTAGAAAAGCAAATGTAGCCAATAGCTTTGTGTTTCACAGGTTTATAAGAAAACTCCTTAAAGCCGGAGAAGAGTTGAGATGCTGAAAGCAAAAGACATATATGCTAGCTCCAACACACATTCAGTTCCTCTGAACAATAAGGAAGCTTATATGGTAAGGGTTATATAATAATTCTTCTCTGGACTTGTAAAACTCTTTATTATATCATCTGGCCTATGCCAAACATCCTTATAGAAATAAGGATTGTTTCTATAAGAAATTCTGCAAGTTTTCCAAATTCTTTTTGAAGTTGAAGTATTTTTCTACGGTTCTACTAGCTCGTTCTTCATAATAACTATTACAGTAAACTCGAAATATGCTATTAGCCTATGCTTATTTTATTTTTATTTATTTATTGAGATGGAGTCTTGCTCTGTCACCCAGGCTGGAATGCAATGGTGCAATCTCGGCTCACTGCAACCTCTGCCTCTTGGGTTCAAGAGATTCTCCTGCCTCAGCCTCTCAAGTAGCTGGGATTACAGGTGCGTGTCACTATGCCGAGATAATTTTTCTATTTTTAGTAGAGACAGGGTTTCAACCTGTAGGTCAGGCTGGTCTCGAACTCCTGACCGCAAGTGATCCGCCCGCCTCAGCCTCCCAAAGTGCTGGGATTACAGGCATAAGCCACCACATCCAGCCAGCCTATGCTCATTTTATTAGTGAGGACACTGAGGCCTATGAAGGTGACTGGAATGGCTCAGGGTCACATAGCTGGTGCATGGCCCAGCTGGGATACTGTAGATGTGCTGACTCACAGAGCAATGCTCTTTCTCTGATTCCACATTGACTCTCTTCTCTAGATTACAGGACACGATAATACAGAAAACTTCAAAAGCAATTTTATACTTAGCCATTTGTATGCCTTATACTTCCTTTATGTACTACTTAATTTTTCAAAACAAAAAATCTGGCTTAGAGTATAAGAAATATCACATTTAATCCAACCAAGTAGCAATGTTATGCTTCAAATTTATATCTATTTAAAGTAACCAAATGGTAAAAAAATATATACATATATATACATATTTGGAGACCATTATATATGTAGTTTAATTTACATGTTCATTTAGGAAAAGAAAAGATCACTAGAAATAAAGCACTGAGTAGACTACATTTACAAGGAAATGAGAATAGATATATTAATAATGTTAACGTAATTCAGAGGCATATCCTAGTGGAACATTGTTTTCAACTTGATTTTTTATTTTGTTTAATGTCCATTTTTCATTATACCAATAACTGTGAGTGAAGAAAGTGATTTTCTCAAGAGCAATGAGATAGAGATCATGTACACCAGTAGATCACCCAGCTTTGTAGAGCTTAGGATAAGAGCAAACAAACAGATTTAGTAATGACATCAGGAAAGTTAATATTGAGGGTCTGAAAGGCTATCATCATCTCTTAACTGAGATCAGGTAATCCAGACTCCCTAAGAAGGCAGAGTAGTAAGAAGAAGAAAAATCTGGCTTATGTCAATTGGAGAGGGCAGGTTAAAACCCTCTTTTTTCAATCTATTTATTGCTTGAGCACAGTAGCAACTCCAGAGGGACAATCTCCCTACCCATCTTAAATTGTTAAAGCAAGCATACTGAAAGGAAGGAAGCAACTTTGGATTCTTTCTTTTATCAACAGGAAATATACTTCTCGATCATAAAACTATGGACCACAAACGCTTGGCTTTCAGAGCAAAACTGTGGGGGAAAAAAATCTGCTTCCATGCAAAAAAAAGTCTATTTAACAGTTTAGGAATAAAAAACCCATAACAAATTTTAAAATGTGGGTAACAGATTGTTAAGGGTTAAAGGCTAATTCTAATATAGTGGACATTTGCTTTCTTGAGGGTAAGAAAGGAGATGGAATATAATGGACAACCTTGGGACATTCTAACCAATGGAGTGAAGGCTGGGTTACCAAGGTGACATTACAATACATGTTCTAGCAAGCTGGATCAAACCAGTAGGGAAGAGGTAATTTAAAATGAAATATTGGAAAAATACCACTTAACATTGTCATAATTGTATGTATGGAGCCCTTTCCCCCTTTAAAATAAAATACTCCAAGAAGAAAATGTATAAAATCTAACAAAGAGCAAGAACATATGTACATCCCAGAATCATACATTAGGCTGCGAGATAACAAATTCTTAAAAGTATACACTATCTCTATCTTAAAGATGGGGAAATGAAGTCTGCTTGGAGTTAACTTTCTCAAGTTTACACAATTAAAAAGCAGTAGAAATCATTTGACCCAGCTCTCTGATCCAGTGTCTGTACTCTTCCCACTGAGATGATTGCACCTAGACCTGGGGCTGGAAAATGGTTGAGGCCAAGTGGGCACCTGTGTGAATGGAAACCCCCCTATTTGTTTCAATGGCTGCTGCTCAGTCCCAACAATTGTGTTTTTAAGCCATCTTTGCTGATGCTGCCATGGTTGGGTATATAGACCGAGTAGCTCAAGAGAAGGATCTGAGCTCCAATAACAGACTTGGAAGTCATCTGCCTATAAATGGTGGGTTATGCTATGGGTTTGCGGTATGCTAGAGACGATTAGATCTCTAAAGATCGAATACGATCTTGGGAAACATGGTTACTTAAGAGGTTTAAAAATGGAGAAATGCCAAGGGAAAAAAATCTTAGTTTCCAAGAAGAAAACCAAGAAGGAAATATCTGAATGGCTGGAGGAAAACCAGGAGAAGTTGGTTTTATAGCAGTCCAGGGAAAAGACAACTTCAAGAAAAAGGGAGCTGTCGACTCTGTAAAATATTACAGAAAGGTCAAATATAGCTGTATAATATTTATAGGATAAAGCCCAAGCTTAGAAACAGTTCTAAACCTTATATAAAGGACTCTAGATTATATGACTTTAATAAATCCAGAGGTGGAAAGAAGCTCAAGCAAGGACTTTCTCATCCTAATTCTTATAAACTACCATATCCCTGGGTCAGGACCCAATTTCTGCAAACAGGAAATGAGACCACACAGGTCTATTGAGCTTCCATATATTATATAGTCGAAGAATTCCAGCCCTCCTCAAACCTTTCCTCAATTGGCTTATGAAGCCCCTACAGGGTATCTCACCTGAGCTGTCCAAAACTATCCTTCACCTGTGATGGCATGTCATTTTCCCCCTCCCTTCACCCACATTTCTATGGGAATATCTGATATTGAGCACTTACTGTGTGCCAACTACTTCACGTGCCTTTTTTTTTTTTTTTTTTTTTTTGAGACAGAGTCTCGCTCTGTCCCCCAGGCTGGAGTGCTGTGGCGCGATCTCGGCTCACTGCAAGCTCCACCTCCCGGGTTCAAGCCATTCTCCCGCCTCAGCCTCCTGAGTAGCTGGGACTACAGGCGCCCACCACCACACCTGGCTAATTTTGTTTTTTTGTATTTTTAGTAGAGACGGGGTTTCACCGTGTTAGCCAGCATAGTCTCAATCTCCTGACCTGGTGATCCGCCTGCCTCGGCCTCCCAAAGTGCTGGGATGACAGGCGTGACACATGCCTTATTTTTAATCCTCAGAGCAACTGAGGTTCAGAGAGGCAAAGGAAGTTGCCCCATGGCCACTACATGAGAAAGCAGATCCAGAATTCCAGTCCAGCCTGAGCTCTTCACCACTGCACTGTGTACTTGGAAGCCTCCGTCACAACACACCACTGCCACCTCTATTCCCAGTGAAGGGATGGCACAAATACTAGAAACATTGTGTGTGGCCTCCCTGCTCTAGTGCCGGAAGATACTACTATATTCTTCTTCTCAATGTAGATGTAGGCTAACAAGCATCCATTGTAAAGATATTGCTTCATTCATGAATCATAACTGTAAGAGGCACTCTCACTACCCATTAATGGCATTAATGCAGGTACAATTTTCAAAGACTCCCCTATCATTTGATGAAATATGGCCCTGGCAAGTGAGTCAGCCCCACTGGGCCCATGGGCTTGTCTAGACATATCTGAATTCAAAAGAGAACACAACTTAGACCCAAACTAAAAATCTCTAAACATGTAAATCTGCTTGAAACTAGTTTGATGGTTTGAAAATGCGAGTTGCAAAGAAACCTGAACTTTAAGAAAGAGAAACAACAACTGTAAGTCAAACAGGAGGACTAGGAACTACTACAGAGAATACAGGTCCTCAGCTTCAGACAGTCAGGCTGGGAAAAATGGAAAAAGATCTTTCTTTCAGAGAGAGGTTTGACAGCATTAAATACTCAAAGGACATTTTCCACAGGGAATTGGCTAAAGGGCTAATTTCAGGTGACCTTTAAGTAAAAGGAAAAGATAAGAAAACCTTTCTCAGCATAAAGCTTCAGCTAATCAGAGTTTTCAACTTAGGTTACGAAGATTCCCTTGTTTTCTCTAATAAGAAGAGTTAGGTAACTGACCTAGTCTTACTTTTACTTTAGCTGCTCAAAAGTTTGGTGCCAAATTTAAGGTTTAATTATGGCAACAACAACTAACAATTTGGGTCTTAATTATTTACATATTTCTTTTTCCCCTTCTAGAAAATGTATATTTACCCTATTCTGAAATTTTTATTTGTGTTAACATTTAACCATCTTACTATATGTAAACTTTTAGGAAATTTTCTTTGTAGACAAATAATGGTGGAAGACAGATGGATAGATGAGAGATGATAGATAGATAGATAGATAGGAGAGAGAGAGAGATGATAGCTACATGATAGATAGGTAGATGACTGACAGGTCATTGACAGATATGAAAGAAGAAGAAGAAGTTTGTTGGGATTTAATAAATATGTGATTTTAAAAAGTTAAAGGAACCAAAGATGAGGTTCTCTAGCTTTGGTGGCTGGATTGAGATTTAAAATATAGTATATCTTTAAAAGCAGGAAAGAATGATGAGTTCAGTTTGTATATGTTGAGTCTGGGAGACCTGGAGCTATCCAGGAGGTAGTTCAATATTGAGTCTAAAGCTTGGAGAAAAGTTTTGAGCTGGAGATACACATATTTTTTTGCAGCAGCCATATAAAGAAAGTGTTTTAACATGACAATAAAAGCAGTCACTCAGGGAGAATATCCTCTCTTCCTGGATTTGGCTGTAATAAGAATAGAAACAATTCAAGGACGGAGTTTCCATAAACACCAGCACTGAAAGGAAAACAATATAGGAAACAGGCAAAAGGTTCTGAGTGGAACGAGGAAAGAGCAGCATTTAAAAAATAAAGGGACCAGGATGTTGAATGAAGCAGAGAGGCACAGTAAGAAAATACAGAAAAGCCTGAGCAGTTAGAAGAATTCCTGTGGCCTTATGAGGAGCAGTTTCAGTACCATGTTGGGAGCAGCAGCCTCTGTTTTGAGAAATACAGATGAGAAGAAAGGAAGATGCAGAAGGCAGAAAGCTGCACAGAAATCTTAGGGGATTTGAAGGGAAAGTTATAAACAGAAAAGGCTTGTGTTTTACTTTCTGGTTGGAGGTGTGAGTGGAGATCTTGTGGACAAGGGATTAGAAGGGTCTGAGGAAGGTAACTAGCTGTTCAAGTCAAGGGTAGTTCACACAGAGCACCACATACTCCATTATGGCACAGAGTAACACAGAGCACCGCATACTCCAGCATGGTGTAAAGTAATTGGCTGAGGGTTCCCTGTCTCTGAACCCCCAATGAGTACATAGAGGTGCTAAGAGAACCACTGAACCAGAAGTGGGTTTTAGGTAGGGATGAGAAGGCCACAGCATGCAAGGAATTTGTGGTGGGTGCCTCTAACTTATATGAATACCAGGACACACTCCCCAAAGCATCAAGCAGGATTAGCTACACCCCAGCCAACGCCAATGCCTAGGGTAAGATCAGCTTAGCCCACTGCATTCAAAACCAGCAATGGTCCAGGTAGATTCAGACCAGGAACCTCTGCCTCAGTGCTAAGAGGTCTATTAGCATCTCTTGTACTTTCTCTTGAGAAAGAGGATAAAAGAGAACTCCTTTTAAGAAAGGGGAGAAATTACCCTGATAAAGAATGCAACATTGACTTAAATGATCATTTATCCAAATGACGAACCTGAAACAACCTCAAAGATATGTTTTAAAGTTCAAAAAGACTGCATACTTCAAAAGGATAAGCTTAAGCTTTGGGTTTTTTAGTTTTGTTTTTTTTTTCTTTTTTTTTTTTTTTTTTTTTTTGGTGTTATCATTATCTTTCCCACTATGAGGAAAATGGAGACTAAAGTGCAAGATGAGATGAATTATCTTCTAAACAGCATCCTACTTTATGCACAGATGAAGTATAATATACAAATTTCCACCCTTCTCTACTCACAAACAAAATATAGCTAATATAGCAAGAATAATGTTAGAATTTGTGTTGGACATGATGATGGTGAAACAGTTGCCCACATTTATAATTCACATAAGGAACTAACCAAGGGAAGTAGATGCTGGGGATGAGAGAGAAAGGACATCATCCTAGATGGCAGAATCTTCAGAATGGCAGAATGTTTTCTCATGAAGATGGAAGAATAATGAAATTACATTTTGTAGAGAAGGCAGAAGGTTGACACCATCTTTTGACTTTATGGTCCCTGAATTTGAGGAGATCCAGTGGAAATGACATACATTCATGAGGAAGTCATATTTTAGTTCTGGTAAAGAAATAACAAGAGCATTCTGTAAACAAAGTGAGAATATAGAGAAGCTGGTTGATCATGGAATGAAATTTGGTTCAGGGACCAGTGAATTTGGGGTCTTCTTTTAGATGGGAGGCACAACTCATGATGTCAAGCAAGAGATACCCATAGAAATGAATATGCCTGGCCCATAAAGGATGAGCTAACCCTGATGTTTCAAAAAGAATGCTGATGTGACTTCAGTACATATACTAGTGGAGGTCCCAGCTGTAGTTGGAGACCTTGTGAAGCCAGCAATATTTGACCTAATTCAAAACCACTAATGTCAGAGCAAGCCAGTTCCTTTCAGGGATGGAGCCTGGTCTGTGGTTTGCAGGTTGATTCTGGTAAAGACCCCAGTTAGGCATTGCTATGTACCCTGAACAGACATTGCAGGCCAGGGAGCCGTCTCTGCTACCCTGAACAGTGAGCCCAAGATACCTTCAACTTTCACCACGTGGTGATTAAAATCTCTACCATTGACCCAAGCACAGACACTTTCTAAATCACCCACTCTTTCACCAAAGTCTCTTTTATTCTCTTTCACCATAAGACCCAGTTTTATAAGATATGATCTACTATTGACAGGCAAATATTGACCAGAGAGGGGAAATCAAGTATTTAAAAGATGGGAAGGACATCAAACTATTAAATATCAAATTCTGGAGAAATTTTGTAGATCAGCCAGAACTACTTCTAGAGAGAGAGAGAGAGCCAAACCATGTGGAGAGAGAAGAATAAAACAAAAGCAAACTGGCAGAAATGTGAAGTGGCTTGCATTCTTTTAACCTCAAGAGTGGGAGCAGCCAAGAACACAGAGTTTTACCAAGTAGAGGCAAAAGTCTTAGTCAAACTCAGTTGTACCTATTCTACTCCTGGCTGCCTCCACCTGATCATAATGACATTATGCTAGGAAAAAATGCAAATTAACAATGAGATGATAATAAGAGGCAGAGTTCTTTTGATCTTGTTAGCTGGAACCTGGGAGAAGGCATATTGCAGGGGTGGATATCTTTAGAGGGACATTGGAATTACCTGGGAGCTTTAAAAAAAAATGCTGAGTTTTGGCAGGGCATGCTGGCTCATGCCTGTAATCCCAGCACTTTGGGAGGCTGAGGTGGGTGGATCACTTGAGGCCAGAGTTCAAGACCAGTCTGGCCAACATGGTGAAACCATGTCTCTACTGAAAATATAAAAATTAGCCAAGCATGGTGGCATACACCTGTAATCCCAGCTACTCCGGAGGCTGAGGCAGGAGAATCACTTGAACCCAGGAGACGGAGGTTGCAATGAGCCGAGATCGTGCCACTGCACTCCAGCCTGGGTGACAGAGAGAGACTCTGTCTCAAAAAAATAAAAATAAAAATAAAACAGACAAAAAAAACATTAAAAAACTGAGTTTTATAAACTCTTCAGGTGATTCTAATAGATATCTAATATTTTTAATTACTGGTTTGGGGGTCTCCTGAGAGAAGTTTCTACCAGAGACAAAGAGCACTGTCCTGAAGGGGAAGAAGATGACGTTAAGTAAAAGAGTTAAGCTTGTGCACCTCAAGAGTTTCTTTTTCTGCTACTGGTCCTAGTCAAGTAACAAATCATGCTCTTTCCTATGACACTGATCCATCTGATGTACACAGCAGCGTCCCTGACAGGAAGGGATCGGGAGAACCCTGGAATGGGACACAGTAGAGGCTCAGTCTCCTAACATCTGGGGATGGGAAAGCTTGGCTGCTCTCCTGCCCATCCTGCCTCTCCAGAGGAACAGATCAACTCCAAGTGGAAAACATGACAGGGAGTGTATACCATTTAGTGGGTAACCAATTTATTCATGTGTGTTGGTTTGAAGATATATTAATAGAATCTGTTCATGATAAAGTAACCAGCATCCCATTGGAAAGGGGATGAAGAACTGAGACTAGAGGAACACATTGAAGTTTCTGGGTCTGACAAGGTTGTCAGAAATGATATGATGGTACAGTTGGAAAATGAAGGTAAGGGCAAAGATACAAAGTTTTACTGAGCTGGTGTAGCTTTGTCCCGGATGAGTAAGTGTAAAATGTTCTTTAAGTTCTTAAAATTTTGAAAATGATTCTCTAATCCCATTAATTCACTTGAGGGTCTTAAGAACCCAGAAAACCCAGGAAAAAAAAAAATCTGGTCTCAGAAAAGACAATGACCTGGATAACATAGCCAAAGGTCCACTTGGCGTAATTTAATGCCAGATTCAGGCTTCTCCACAATAACAGTATTTGGCCACATTTTTAAAGCACTTTCATTTTATGACTCGGTTTCTTATTTGTTGGTTTATAGCTTGCTATTTATTCTTACTCTGGCAATGTGACTTGTTATATTATGTCAGATGTGTCCTTCTCTGCATGGGAGAAGAAAATTAACTGTGAAGACTTCCCCTGACACCATATTTAAATCATACAGGACTAAATTTTCAAATATTCCAGATGAGACAAACTATTAAGTGAATATGGCACACAAGAGGATTTAGGAAATTTACACATGGTTTCTAAACTATGGCAGTGTAAGCTATTAAAATGAACTTCTGCCTTTTCTGAGATGACAATTTAATCCCTAAAAATAAGCCAGTGTTTGAGCAGTTGACCAGCCTGGAGCCTGGTGGATAGCTAACACTCAGTCATGTTGATTAAATCTGAGTGATACTCTTAGAAGGAAGCATTGGGCATGATTCTAATCATTAGAATTGAAAATGAGGAGAACATTTGGGAGAAACTGACTGTGCATTTCAAAATTAGAAATGCCAAAAAAAAAAGTGGCGGGAGGGAGGGTAGCTTTTGTCTGATGTGGTTTGGCTGTTTCAGGCACAGCTTAAAAGGAATATGGCAGAAAGTGTTTAGGAGATTGGTTCTTGAACTGACTTCAAACTCCAGCCTCATCTCAAACAGCCTTATTCTGACCTACTAGTTTTACCTTTGTTTATCTTGCTTCCTCCCAATTTTACCTTCACTTTTCTGAGATCCCCAGTTCTAGACACTCCTATCTTATTCCCCAATTGCATTTTACATTTTCCCCGTGACAGGTACTGACACCTTTGTAGTTCTGATATTTGATAACGTACCTTATTTGACTCAGCCTTGGAAAGCCCCATTATCTAAGAATTGGCCTCGCAACTAATACTCCTAATACTAATATGATCACCTTCACAGTCCTGGGCCAAACAACTTCCATCAGACATTCTAGACTAAAAACAGCAATTTTTTTAAAGTTCTCCAAAGAGATAACTATGCATTATGTGAACTCTAAATAAATAGCAGGTCAACAGGGATGAGTGACTCTTTAAAATAAAATTGCATTAACATTCAAATATTATTTTACCTCTTTCTCTACCTGAACTTGAAATGTTAGAATGCCCTGAGTTTTGTCTTTGGCCGTTTCTTTTCTTTACTTGCACTCACTCTTTAAGCGATTTTATTGAATCTTGTGGCTATAAGCATATTAATTCACTGTTGATTTTCAAATGTCTAACTATAGCTTAACCCCCTCCTCTGGGCTCCTATCTCATATACCCTGTACCCTGACATCCTCACTTGGACATTTGCTAACATTTCAAATATAAAATGTTTATGTCTGCACTTGAACTCTTGATTACCCCTCTTTCTCTCAGTCTTGCCAATCTTAGTAAATAGCTCCACCACCCCCCATGGGTGGATGAATGGATGGATGGATGGATGGATAGAAGGAAGGAAGGAAGGGGGCTTTCTAAGGCTGAGTCAAGTAAGGTACATGATCAGATATCAGGGATGGAGGGAGGAAGGGAAGGAGGGAAGGAAGGGAGGGAGGGAATGAAGGAAAGAAGGAAGGAAGGAAAGGTGGGTCAAGTAAGGTACATTATCAAATATCAGGGAGGGAGGGAGGGAAGGAAAGAAAGGAAACAAAAGGAAAGGAAAGGTCAAGTAAGGTTCATTATCAAATATCAGAGAGGGAGGGAAGGAAAGAAAGGAAACAAAAGGAAAGGAAAGGTCAAGTAAGGTACATTATCAAATATCAGAGAGGGAGGGAAGGAAAGAAAGAAGGAAAGGAAGGAATGAAAGAAGGAAGGAAGGAAAGGAAAAAGGAAGGAATGAAGGAAGGAAAGAGGGAGGGAGGGAAGGAGGGAGGGAGGGGGAAGGAAGGAAGGAAAAAGGAAGGGAGAAAAGGAGGTAGAAAATTAGGTAAGACAACGGGTTAATAGGATAATATGATACTGGAGAATATATAAACAGACATGAACATTTTAAAATAGAATTTTGGTGGACAAAATACTTTCAAAAACTGCCTCAGGGGTTGTTTAGGCTTTATTTGTTGATCCAAATTTTAAACTATTAATACATATTAAGAATTGGAGACAGGCATCACAGAGGGTCAAAATTTATAAAACAAATTGGATGATATATATGGTCAGCAAATGCCATGTAAAATGTCTCTATGACTTCATGTGCAATCAAGCTCACCAATGTTCTCCTGAGGTCAAAAACTTCTACAGAAAACCATACCAGCTATTTTTGAAACACGATTGTTGAGATTTGAGAATGAGGTCCAGAACAATGGCATATGTGAAGGAAAGTAGGTTTAGGTTGCAACCATTTGTAAAATGTTGTCTAAATGCATGTTGAGTGATGTTTGTTTATTCTAAGGCGGGATTTGAAACCAAATCTGATGAGTCAGAGCTCCAACTTGGATAAAAAGATGTGCTAAGAAAGAAGAGCCAACTAGGAAGAAGCTCCAACACCTTTTATCTCTCCCTTCATGTGTGTATAATCATCTCTGAGTGCCTATTCCCACCCACAAACTTAGCCTCTTGGATGATCCCCAACATCTGGCTGTGGTTAGCACTTCTACTCCTGCTATGTCAAGACTACAACAGAACAGCTTCTAAATCCACTCATGAAGCATCAGTCAAGTCCACAAATGTTTATTGGGTACCTCTGGTGTAAGAGTTTATGCTATACCCTGCTAAACACTTCTTTCACTTCATCCTTTCCTGGAAGTTGAAACTCCGTATTGCTTTTTATTAGTATTTGTTATTAACTTTTAACTACAAATCCACACAGCATGAGCATTACCAAAACATACATTTTTGAAGGAGAGAATAAACGATTTTAGAGCATAATTAAGACTCTAAAGTGGTGCTTCACTCACTTCCTCTAATTCTGGGGATTTTTTTTTCTTCCTTCTTTTTTGCTCTGTCATGAAGTCGGAGGGCAAGCCAACTCCAGCAATTTCACCAGATACCACACACTAATGGCTGTGGGACCGCTGCCAGTCGCCCTGTAGAAATGTGCTTCCCTTTGGCTTATCTCTACTCATTATTCTGTTCTTAATATCATTGTGCAAAGAATCTGAAGATTACGAAATAACAAGGTTTTCCAATATGTTGCTGTGTTTAAACGTGATAAATTAACAAGGGAATAGTGCAATGAAAGCATTTGCATTTCATTTCCATTCAAGGCACAGAGCTAACACAGTACTAGAGAGAGAAAGTGATTTAGTTTATTCTCAAGAGTTTGGGTGAGCACAAAACCAAATAAAGCTGAACCACAACATGGCAGGATTTATTAAATCTGTACAACTGAACAAAGTAGCACCCTAAACAGTGAACCAAGCTGCATTTTTCCTCCTTTCAAACTGTCAGAGCATAGATGCAAGACTTCCATCTTGCCAGTCACTGTGAAATATCACAGTGAAGAAGCTTTTTCTACCTCAGTATCAAATTTTCAGATACAGCCAGGCACAGCGGCTCACACCTATAATCCTAGCACTTTGGGAGGCTGAGGTGGGCAGAGTGCCTGAGTTCAGGAGTTTGAGACCACCCTGAGCAACATGGTGAAACCCCATCTCTACTAAAATACAGAAAATTAACCGGGTGTGGTGGTATGTGCCTGTAATACCAGCTACTCGGAAGGCTGAGGTAGGAGAATCGCTTGAACCGGGGAGGCAGAGGTTGCGGTGAGCCAGGATCGCCCCAATGAACTGCAGCCTGGGTGATACAGCAAGACTCCATCTCAAAATAAAAATAAAAATAATTCAGATACAAATACAAATACAGATACAAATTTTATTTAATAAAAATCTTCATTTCAAAAAAAGTTAATGCAAGTTACACAAGGAAAGGAGATGAGAAATGTTGGTCTGACACCAGTTTTTTCAGTCAGTTATCTTGTCCAACTCATGTATAAGGGCTTTATTTGTCATTTGTAAAAATAATAAAACCATCTTCCTATTTACTTCATGGTGAAAATAAGTTTTCTGAAGTGACACTTATTAGGCACATTTAGCTTTTTTTTTTTGAGACGGAGTCTCGCTCTGTCGCCCAGGCTGGAGTGCAGTGGCGGGATCTCGGCTCACTGCAAGCTCCGCCTCCCGGGTTCACGCCATTCTCCTGCCTCAGCCTCCCAAGTAGCTGGGACTACAGGCGCCCGCCACTACGCCCGGCTAATTTTTTGTATTTTCAGTAGAGACGGGGTTTCACCGTTTTAGCCGGGATGGTCTCGATACATTTAGCTTTTTAAAGAGCTTTTTAAAATATAAAGAAAATAAAGTAGTTTTTCAATAGTTCATTTAGAAAATCAGCATTTCTGTAGATGTTCACTGCAGAAAGTTTGTATGGGATTTGTTGGATGGATATCACTGTTTTGATAGAACTAGGCACAGGTCCAAGAACAGAGATTTAAATCTTAAATATGAAACAGTCCTTTGTTTTGCTTTTCTCATTCTTTGCAAAGCTCATTTTGGGCTTTAAAAATATTTACTCAAGGGATATTATCGTCAGGAACTATAACCAAGAAGTTGCCAACTTGATATTATTTGAGGGGATGCCAAAAAGACCTTTGCAGAAACCATCTCCCCATTGCCTCGCTGATGCCTGAAATTTCAACAGCTTTAATTCACTCAGTTATGCTGATGCTTGACATTTCTCTATAGTAACCTTTTGACGTGGGGAGGAGAAGGAGGAGATAGCACTGCTCAAACAACCACAACATCACCGTGCCATACTGTCATTCAGCCTAACTTTCTCCGTATTATTCACAAAGATATTCTAATGTTTTTTCAAATGGTTTTTGAAAGCTAGCTATAACATTGTTGTAGCATATGCTCCCAAACTTACTGAGACGAGGAAAGGGAAAGGCAGCAATGCCACCCTCTGTACTCACTGACACACTAGATATCCTGGGAACCCAGAGTGGAAAATCAGAGTGCCTTTTAGTGACCACTTCATTTGCTTCTAAATGCTGTGAATTATCTTTTGCAAAGTCACTTTGGAATTTAAGCAGCCATTTCCTGTTTTTTTGTTGTTTTTTTTTTTTTTTTTTAAATAGGACATTTACCTTTCTTACACACTTTCTCATTCTCCAGGTGATGGCTTGGAATTTCAGAGTTCTAAAATGAACCTAAAAAGTTACTTCAGCATCCTTAGAAATAAGTTGTTAAGGCATGAACATTTGAGTTCATCCAAAGTAGGTTGTTTTCTCTTTACACCTTAACCCATGTTAAACTATAGTTTATCCTGTATGTTGCTTGATAAATGCTTTCCTGTTTTAAGAGTATCGTTTTTGTTAGAGAAGACGAAAACAAAACAGGAGTTAATTAGCTCCGCTTCTTTTGTCATTTGTTAAAATCTATTAACATAACCAGCATCCCCTAAATTGAGGAAGGAAACTGGGGTCTTCATACATCTTACAGGATTAATTGACCAATTCAACTATGTGTCCATGTAAATTTGGTTTTAAAATGCTATCCGATAAGGAAATAAAAAAGATTTTAGTGGCCCAATTTTATATCATTCTCAAGGCATAGATCCTATTCTTTAAAAATAAACACTTCATTTGAAATCTATAATTTTTTTTGAGTTTGTATTAATTTTGCTCTTGCACTGTTCATTAGCTTCTTGGTACCTGCAAATAATAGGGAGATGTCTAAAACTATCTTGATGTCTGTCCATTCCTAGGTGTTATCAAAAGGTCTCATCAAATTATTTTATGTAGAAGAGCACCCAAATGTTATTTCTTGCTGTTCCTCTTCTTTTCCTCAAGAGAAAGAAGGTTGAAAACTGAAAATGATGAAGTTGAAGAATGAAGTCAATGAGTGTTAAGAAGAGATTCATTTATCCTTGAAGTAAGTGCAAATCCAATCGCATGTTTTCCTTATGACACAATAGTTACCCACAGATTGCTAAACCATTTCTTTTTTGTTCAGCAGAAATGAAAAAGTAGAGTGCTGGTGGTGATCATGTCTTCCCTTCACCCATGGGGACTTTTCATTTATCGCTGCCACTCCAGCATGTTCACTATTCTCTGTAGCATGAAAATCTGATAAAGCTCATGAGGGGAGAGAAAACTTAACTTCAATATTTTCCTGCTGAGCCTGAGAGTGCTTTGTATACCCTAGCAAGATGAAAATCTTAGCTGCAGCATCAGGAAGAGGACACCTCACTTTATCCTACATTCCTATCTCAGTCAGGAAAGTAGCTCTAGAGAAGGAACTAAGAAGTCAAGGTAGGTGCTTCCTTCATGCTTAAAGAGATTATCTCTGGAGATAAGTTCATTTGCTTCCTACCTCAGCTTTTTATAAATAATATGCCTTCCTTAGAGCTGGTTTTTCTTTAATCCCCTTAAGGTGGAGATCTTGAGGAATTTGAGTCATTGACAACTTACCAATAAATGGACCATCGTGGAATATTATTAATTATTGCATATGGAATAAATCCATTTCTGAACAATTGCCATTTAGCTGGAGTTTCAGAGGAAGGTTCATCTTGTACATGGACTCCTCGGTCTGGGAGACAGGGAAGTAGAGTGGCAATAGAGCACTCCTTTTTTTTTTTTTTTTTTTTTTTTTTTGTGAGATGGAGTCCACTCTGTCACCCAGGCTGGAGTGCAGTGGCACGATCTGGGCTTACTGCAACTTCCACCTCCTGGGTTCAAGTGATTCTTCTGCCTCAGCCTCCTGAGTAGCTGGAATTACAGGTGCCAGACACCATGCCTGGCTAATTTTTGTATTTGTAGTGAAGACAGGGTTTCGCCAAGTTGGCCAGGCTGGTCTCGAACTCCTGATCTCAGGTGATCCACCTGCCTCGGCCTCCCAAAGTGCTGGGATTACAGGTATGAGCCACCGTGCCCGGCCAACAGAGCACTCTTAAATGTCTCTCAGATGACTGTTCCCTTCCCAGTTGTGCTATTGTCTTAGCTGTTTATCTGTAAGTGAATCCACCTCTCTGAGACTCAGTTTTTCATCTGTAAAGTGGGCTATACTGTAAATCTCATAGGTTGTTGTGAGAAATTAAATAGCACATGAACCTGCCACATAATATGCATTCGATCATTAGAACAAAACGTTTATAAAAACCTTTAACGTTCTTCTGCCAGAAACATTCACCACTTGGTTGCAGCTACCCTGCCTCTAGCTCCATATCTATGCCACCTTTTTTTTTTTTTTTTTTTTTTTTTGAGGCACGGTCTCCTCTGTCACCCAGGCTGGCATGCAGAGGCAGGATCATGACTCACTGCAGACTTGATTTCCGGGGCTCAGGTGCATCTCTTGCCTCAGTCTCCCAAGTAAGTAGGACCACACATACCCCACCATGCCTGGCTAATTTCATGTATCTATTTTTTTTTGGTAGAGATGGGATTTTGCCATGTTACCCAGGCTGTATGCCAACTTAATGGTCCACTGTGAGAGAGAATTCGTTAGGACTGACAAGGTCTCAAAATGAGAGGAAATCAAAGCCCCCAGAACACTCTGTAGTCAAATAAGACACCCTGAGCCGCAACAGGCTTGGGATTCTGAGAAGTGGTAGCGACTGAAAGAGAACTCCTTACCATAATAAATAAGGCTACCGACTCAGGAGGCTGAGACACAAGAATGACTTGAACCCAGGAGGCGGAGGTTGTAGTGAGCTGAGATCGTGCCACTGCATTCCAGTCTGAGTGACAGAGCAAGACTCCGTTTCAAAATAAATAAATAAAGCTACTGAAATATCCTCCAAGATGCTTATCACTGGGTATCAAAAAGCCTCTGGAGGTGCTTATCTTAAATTCTTCTGGCAAAGGACTGTAAGAAAACTGTCAGAACAGGGCCACCATTCTTGAGAACCTGGGAAAAGAATTACAATGAAAAGGGAGACTTGGGTGAAGACAGTAGGTAGCAGTGTGAGGTCAGAACCAGGCAGGAGTATAGCAACGGCTGTCAATGCATACTGGGACCCACAAGGAGGCAAGACGGTAGGATTACAGTGAGCTCACAAGGGCCATCTCAGGGAAGGGCATGGTAGGTGTGAAGGTTAATTTTATGTCAACTTGTTGGGGCCATGATGCTTAGAAATTTGGTCAAACATTATTCTGAATGTTTCTGTGGTGTTTCGGATGATATTAACATTTGGATCAGTAGACTCTGAGTAAAACAGAGTTCTCTGCATCATGTGGTTGGGCCTCACCTAATCAGTTGAAGGCCTGAATAGAATAATAGCAATAACATACTCTTGGACAGCTCACAGATGTCTGTTTGTTTGCCAGCTGTCCTGCTGTATTAGTTGTTTACCCCACCTCCCTGAAGCAAGAGGAAATTTTGCCAGCAGACTGCCTTCTGTCTTGAACTGCAAAATCAGCTCTTCCCTAGGCCTGTCCCCAGGCCCTTCCTGACTGCTAGCAGACTGGAACTACAGATTTTGGACTTGTCAACCTCCATAGTTGAATGAGCCACTTTTGCAAAATAAATCTCTATTTTTATATATACACATCCCATTGATTCTGGTTTTTGTTTTTGTTTTTGTTTTTGTTTTCTGGAGAACACTGATCGAACAGGAGAGAAAAGGCCCTGCCGAGTAGAGGACTAGTTTTGTTGCTACCATCACCATTGTTAGTATCCATGCCTCTTGTTAGACTCAAGAACCCTGGTTAAGCATCAGTGATAGCTATGAAGCAAACATCTGTATATTTCACTTTTTCCTATTTATTTCCATTAATTAATTCCTTTACTATTCTTCCACAATGACTCAGAAGCAGTTTACCTAAAGAAAAAAAGTATATAAACAATAAGGACATTAAAATAAGAAAGAATACCTAATATGGGAAGGAAGAAGGAAAAATGTCTGAAGCATATTTAGGAAAACTCTATACTACAATTAGTAGCTCTGAGCTTCTGTCATCAAAGGCAAAAAAAGAGAACTATAATAGCTTTCATAGCATTCAGATAATGGATTGAAGATGACTCTATAGAGGACATGGCTAGCGCTCACCACTTGTGATCTCCCCTCCTTCCCGAGTGCATGGAAAAACTACATTTCTCAGCCCCCTGACAATTCTACAGGGGCACGAAACTAGTTTGGGCCAATGAATTGTGAGGAGAAGCAACACAGTGTTCCTTCCAGACTGAGGCCACACAAGCCCCGCACCACCTCTGTGAGGCAGACATATTGATTCAGTGGCGCCACCCCATCCAGGCAGCTTGGATCACAAAGGAAATAGCGGCTGTGGAGAGTTACCTGACCCATAGAGGACTTTGTGTAAGTGAAAGATTAACTTTGGGTGTTTAGTCAATGGGATTTCAGAGTTTAGAGCTTAGCTTGCTCTAAGTAAAATACCAAGTGTGATGCCTGACATAGGAGCCACTCTATTACTTGTTTCCTTAACCAGAAAAACAAGGTGTGTGTTTTTCTGGTTAAGGAAAAGTATAGACTTTTTTTCTGGAGCTAAATTCTAGAGAAAAAATTATTTTGTATATCTTTAAGGAAAGAATGACAATCTAGTAAAAAAAAAAAAGTCTTCAAAAGTGCATTACACAAATGGTAGGGATGTTTTCTTCTGCATCAACTTTTAATTTAATACAACCTAGGCATATTGTTATATTGTAATTCCTCCAGAGGGTCTAGGGTCATGTGGTCCAGGTGGTTCCTGGCCATCCAAGAGGATGCAATGACTGAGCTGAGCAGAGGTCACAGATTTGTGGCCTGTGACCCAAATCTAGATTGCAGCACTATTTTTCTTAGCCTACTGTGTTTTCATAGTGTTTGACTGGTTGATAGTATTAAATAACCATGGCATCCACATAAAAATAGTGATGATTTCTGGCTTCTATTTTTTTAAAAAATCAGTCTTAGCACACTGGGTTCACATTTCCAAGTGGCAAAAAGTCAGCTTAAGCTGGGTAGCTGCAGCCCTTTCAACTGCGGCTTCTTCCACAAGTCCCCAAAGTCCTGCCCCAATGCCCCCACTCCACTTGTTTTTGCTACCTGACTGGTCCTTGGGGGCATTTAAATTTATGCTTCTAGGCTTCAAGGATCCAGAAAACTAGAACCACTATAAAGTCTCGAAGGCATTTGTTTTAAAAGTTTAGGAAACTGGGCCCCAGACCATACCTCTTACCTTAAACCAATCATCAGCATTTTCACATGTTTTTACATACTGAGTTTGATAGCCCAAGCTTCCCAGCAGGAAACAGAAGGCTCACTGAAGGTGAGATGATTTGAGGAAGGTTTAATGTGTGGCGGCAGGGTTGGGGGAACCACAGGGATTAGGGCAGCATGCTGGGCCTGTAGGGGCAATGGAGGGAGTGGCCACAGAGAGTCATGTTGTATGGAGAGGACACCTGTGAGACCTGACAGGAACTGTGACCTTCAGCCAGAGAAAAAGGAGGAACCAGGGCAAAGAATACCTCAACCTCACTTTTCTGTCTGTCTCTGCATCACTTGCTGCTGCCTCCCACTGGATGAACCCTAGTGAAATCCAGAGGGCAAGGGAGTCCATTGATGTTGTTCATAGAGACGCCTCCTAGAGCATAGAGCGGCAGGAAAGGAGAGGACCAGGAGGAGTAAATAGAAGATAGCACAGCTGTCAGGTAGAAATTTGGGGAAGAAATCATTCTACTGTTGCTCAATAGTATTTAAATGAGAGAGAGTGCACGCGCAATAATGCATAGAACTAGCCGACTCGCTGCATTGGTTTGCTAGGGCTGCCATAACAAAGCACTACACACTGGGTGTTTCAAGCAACAGAAATTCATTGACTCACAGCTCTGGAGGATAGAAATCCAAGATCAAGGTGTTGGCAGGATTGATTCCTTCTGAGGACTGTGAGGGAGAATCTGTTCCCTGTCTCTCTCCTAGCTTCTGGTAGTTTGTGGCCACCTTTAATGTTTGTTGGCTTGCAGTTGCATCATCCCAAACTTCAGATGGCATTCTCCCTCTGAATGTACCTGTCTCTGTGTCCAAATTTCCCCTTTTTGTAAGAACACCAGTCATATTGGATTAGAGCCCACCCCAATGACCTCACTTTAATTTGATCATCTACAAAGACCCTATTTCCAAATAGGTCACATTCACAGGTACTGGGGGTCAGGACTTTGACATCTTTTAGGGAAACACAAGTTAACCCACAACAGTAACTTAATAATTCTTAGACTAGTGGTTCTCAGCTGATGGTACATTATCAATTGTGGAATGTGAAGTTTACTAGATTAAATGAACATTTTTCATAAAATTTATTTTCATTTGTTTTCTCCTATTTCCACCTTAACAATAAAATATATCCCCAATAATAGTACTGAAACTTACTGTTTTTGTGTTTTCCAAGTTATCATAACATTTAAATGTATACTCCAAAGTATTATTTCAATTTTAAAAAACAGTAATAGAGTTATTATTTTGGTTTGTTTGTGCATTATAGTTTAGCAGAAACTCCCAACAAGATAACTGCAATGGTATAAATTATATTCTTATAATTGATATCCTTATAATTATAACCTTACAATTTTTATCCTTATAATTTTAAATTCTTTAAAAGGCATAAATTATATCTCCAATAGTAGAATGCCTCTAAACATATAAATATCCTTCTAGAAAAAAAGAGATTTGCTATTTGTCATGGTGGGATCCAGGTTCTCTGATAGAATCAATGGTGAGTTCCAATATTTGAAAAGTAATTTATAAGGGCATTACCTTAAGCATTGCCCACTTGGTCCATAACTAGAACTGATGTTTCAGGACATGAGAAGCTGCTCTACATTACGTCCTTACTTCTGTTTTTCCTTGCTTTAAAGAAGCTAGAAATATTTGAGGACTATGCAAATACTGAACACCATGGGGATTTTGTTGTAATTGTTTTTTAATTACTTTTGAGAGATTTCACACAATTATGCATAAATAGCTCTGGGTGTTTTCTAAAGGCTTAGTTTCAATATTGTGGCTGTTCATTCATCATCATATGGATAGCTGTGGTACTATCGGGCCCCAACTAGGATCAGTTTTAGAGGAGATCTATGGCAATGTTCCTTATAGTAAGACATTGGGTATAGAGGTCGAGTGACACAGACACGAGAATATAGGAGAGTCCTGGACTGGGAAGGAAGGAATTGCTGAGCAGTTGTTGAGGCAGAAGGAAACAGGCAGAAACTCAGTGACCAAACCAAGGCACAAGAGATGAACTTGGGTTCAGAAATGAGACAGAAATTCAAGTGTAAGGGTACAAGATCAGGGTTGCGCTGGTATTAAGGCAACATCAAGTTGAGTCACCTGCTGATAAAATTCAGGCCCTTGAATCACTCTTATCTTAACTCAGCATTGGCTGTAGCTAACTAAGCCTATAGGAAAGACCAGAGTACAGGTGACACAACAGGCCCTGACTGCACTAAACTTTCATTTATTGATTATTGACCCCACAATTTCACAGGAACATCCACCTAAAGATTTAGTTTGAGTTCTGATTATCACTGAGGCAAAAGAGAACTTCTTTTTAGGCTCAGAAAAATATATGTATAATATTTGCTCATAAATTTGACAGATGTATTGAGTGCCTACTCGTGAGCTTGGCACTCTGCTGTGGATAGACTGATGAACAAGTCAGAAAGCACTTAGGCTATTGGGAGAACAGGAGGAGACAGGGCCAGAGGGGAAAAGCAAATGACAGACCACACAGGCTGGGTTAAGAGTGTTGAGTTTTCTTCTAACTACAGAGGTTTTTAAATGGAGCAGTGTTTTGTTCTGAGTTTGTTTGTTTCAATAAGAAAAAATCAATGGTAGAAGGGAGAAAGTAATACCAATGGGCCATTGTGGAGGTTATTGCAGTGATCAGAGTGAGAGGTACTGGTGCCTCAGACGAGTTTGGGTGCAGCAGAATAGTGAAAAGTAATTTGGAGGTCAAACCAACAGGACTTGCCACAGGATGGATGGATGAAAGAAGTAGAATAAAAAATGAACCCAAGTTTGGGGGTTAATCAATTGCATGACTGATGATACAACTGTCCTAAATGGAGAAGATAATGAAGAAACAGGTCTGGTAGAAATAAAGATGGGTTCTACTTGGAGCTTAAAGACATCTAAATGGAGTTTGTATACAGGGCTAGAGCTGGAGAGAGGTTAGAGCTAAAGAGAACCAGAAAGTATTCCCCAATTTTCTTCCTAACTCTATTTTTGACCTTGAAATATCATTTAAATTTCTCTGATTTAATTTATTTTGAAATATATTTCTAAAAAACGTTTTTCATAAAGACCAGGTCTTGCTACGTCGCTCAGGTTGGACTTGAACCACTGGGTTTAAGCCTTCCTCCGCCTCAGCCTCCTGAGTAGCTGGGACTACAGGCACACACCACCACACCCAGCCAGATATTTTTAAAATATGTAAAATATAACTTGTTACATATTTACCAGTGCTTTAAAATGCTTTTTGAAATTTCTTCCCCCAAGATATCTAAAAACATGACATGGGAAATCTTTGTTTTTGTAAAAATAAACAATTAAACAGATGGTACAATGAAAATGATAGCATAAACATTTCATCTTTATCAAATTCTAGTTTAAAAAACAAGAAAGTTCTGAAAAATAAGTATACTACCTAATGAAAATACATATTTCCTATTATAAAATAATTGAAACGTATTGCACATAATTTTTGCTTGACTTGAAGGCATATTTTCACTTTAAGACAAAAATAGTTACTGCCCAAATTAGACAATTATGGGTAGATAGCAGAAAATAAACATTTGGAAACAAGTTAGCATACGCCTATGTCCCTAATTTATACAAGCTCTGAATATTTCATACCTCCTTAAGAAAAATGCAGAGTCCATGTTGAATTATTCTTTCTGCACAAAGGTACCTCTATGTTTAAGCCCAGATCTGATAAAATATATATGTCCCACGTGCAGTAATGAATATTCATAGAAATCCTGCCAGGAAGGGTATAAGGGAAATTACATCATTCTTTTTTCTTCTTCTTCATTTCTCATGAGATATTCCTCTCATTGACCACATAGAAATAAGAGTAGCCTGGCTGAGACAAGTTACCCAGTGGGCCAAGGTTGATTTAACTGCTCTGGCTGAGAGGCAGCCTCTCTGTTTTTCCATCCTGCCTATTCATTGACACCTTGTAGAAAATGAGCACTCCCCCAAAAAAAGAAAATGAGTCCAGTGCCCTGGACAACTGAGACCAGCCTTCAAAACCCACATGTAGAAACTGGTACCATTTCTACAGGTTATTATTTAATGAAATATAGCACTCCAGAAAACTAAAAAGCCCCCTTATTCTAGTTTTAAAAAAGTTCTTCTTCAGTGTTTGAATAAATAAAAAGTGTTAGCTCTAGGAAATGCTCACACTGAATAACATAGCAGCCATCATAGATAGCTTGAATGATTTAACTTAACACACATTTGACATCAAGGGAATTATCTATCACCTTCATCTATCACAAGATGAAGTCACTTAGTCCACACATTATGATTAGACATTTATTATTCTCTTTTCCTGTGACTAAGAAGACTTTTTTTTCTTCTTGGTAAAGAATACAGAGAATCTTTGGGATAATGTGTCCATACTTACTTTTCTCTTGCTGTAAAATGTATTATCTATTTGTTTATATGTTAATTTGGAAAAACAAATAATTTCTAGTGGAAATGTACTTCTATGCCTAGGAACAACATTTACAGAATTCCTACATTCAGAGAATTGAGACACTACTTCAATAGTGTCTAAATTACTTAAGTAATCAACTTGTAATAATCAGAAATTTCCCAAAGCTCAAAGCCCTATTTTAATATTACTATATTTTATATTTTCTAAATATTGAATGATAATTGTACTGGTATTATATGCAATACTATATAACGAAATTAGAGAGATTTCCCCATTGTGGTAGTCAGGATAAATCATCTGGCCTTTGATAAGATTGGCCACCTCATTGAGCCTTGGAGTAGCCCAGGCCTGAATAATACATATAACTTTTCTGTTTGCAGGCCTTTTGTGAAGTTGCTCTGTTATCTCTGTGGCCCCAAAGACCAAAATGATGGAGAAAATGAAACCAGGATGATTTCTGACATCTGCTTCCACTCCACCTTCTTTAACCACTTCATCCACATCTCTCTTAGCTTCTCACATAAGTCTCACCTGGAATCATCTTATTTACACCAATAAATTTACCTACCACCTGCCTGTTGATTGCCAAATGTGTACCTTCAGATATTTTTTCTATGCTCCAAGCTGATATATCTGACAATCTATTGCTCAACTCAACCTGGATCCCCACAGACAAACCAAACTTAACCTTACCAAAGCAAAAATCATTGTCTCTCCCTCTCCGAACTCTTCTGCTCCTGTGTTCTCTCTGACAGTGCAGCATGTCAATCCAGATAGAAGCCTGGGAGTTTTTCCAGACACCTCCAAATCCTTCCCTCACCCATATCCATTCCCTGACAGAATCCTGTCAGTTTGACTTTCTTAACATATCTCATATCTGTCCCCACACAGAGTTACAATAATAGGGGTGAAAACCTGCCTACTGGGTACTATGCTCACTACCTGGATGGCAGGTTCAATCATACTCCAAACCTCAGTATCACACAACATACCTTTGTAACAAACCTGTGTGTGTACTCTCTGATTCTAAAATAAAAGCTGAAAGAGAAAAACAAAAACAAAAAACAAAACTAGCCAAAATGTGAAGAAAAAAAAAAGATCTGTACTCATGGATACAGTTGAAACAAAGAAAAATATGGTCAGATCCACTTGGGGGGCAAAGGAAGTCAGGAAAGATCTTCTGGAGAAGGTGACTGAGCAGAGGCTTAAACGGAGGTTGGCATGGAGGCCTTGGCAGGCAGTGACAGCAACAAAACCAAGGGCTCAGCAAGACAAATTTCAAGCCCTTCAGGATGGGTGGAACATAAAGCTGTGTGCAAGTGTGATGCAAGTGATGCAAGAATGGAAAGAAAAGCAGTAGGTAGGGTCTAGGAATTTTAGGTTTGTCCTCAAAGGCAGTGTGGAGCCACTGCAGGGATTAAAATAGAGGAACAACAAAATCAGAACTACCTTTTAGAAAGCTCTCTAGTACAGTGTGGAGGGTAGATGAAATGGGACAAGACTGGAAGTAGGAAGCTGTCGCTATAATCCAGGTGACAGGAAATGCCAGTCTGAGCTACCAGGGTAGCTGCAGGGACGGCAACAGACAGGGGTGGTGAGGAGGAGGCGAGACTCTAACCCCCACTCTGGCCCTAACTAGAGCAGCTTTGCCCTTATCGGTCATGAATGTTAAGCTTTCACATAAGCTTTTCATTTGAGAAAAGGTCTTGTGGTCTACATGGTAAAACATGGCCCACAAGGCCCTCAGGGATACAAATTCTGACAAGCTACTCCACCTCTTCTCTCTCCCTCCATGCGTGACCTTCCCCCTCCAGCTACAGTCCCTGCCTGTGGTTTACCCCACACGCTATTTGCACTCTTTCCTGCTGCTGCACGTGTCTGCTTGCTTTGCCTGCTCCCTTATCCCAGTCTCTTGTCCTTCACTGCTTAGCCAAGGGCCCCTTCCAAGAAGCCCTCTCTGATCCCCTCAAATCCTCAACTTTCATCACTACCCAGCTTATTCTACATCCTACACCCTATAAGATCAGCATCTTCCCTTACCTTCTCACCCTACCATGACACTGTGAACACTACACTTCTTGTCTAATCTGATTACTCAATGCTTAACACAAACTGGGCTTCCCTTTTTAATGTACAATTTGTTTGTATAGTTTTTAATCTCCCCCAAATAAATTCAGAACCCGAGGGCAGAGTGAATACCTTTCTGGGTTTTGTTTGTTGTAGAGGAAAAAAGATGTATCTTTCATTACATCTAGCTGTTCACTTTACTTACTTAAATTAGTTTAAAATCACACGTTGATTTAATTCATTCTGTGTGTCATATATCATCTGCACATATTTAACTGTCTCAATTATATTGGAAATTTGATGTCTTTATACATAGCCCATGTCACAAGAACATATTATAGGTGATATCATGTTATAATGGTATATATAACATATATAGGTGACATCATGTTATAATGAAATTCTTTCCCATTCTTTCATTGACAGGTGTCCAAAACTTTTCTGAAAAAGCTCTAGGATAGACATATGTATTAGTCCATTTTCACACTGCTGATAAAGACATACCCGAGACTGGGAAGAAAAAGAGGTTTAATTGGACTTACAGTTCCACATGGCTGGGGAGGCCTCAGAATCATGGTAGGAGGTGAAAGGCACTTCTTACATGGAGGCGGCAAGAGAAAATGAGGAAGAAGCAAAAGCAGAAACCCCTGATAAAACTGTCAGAACTCATAAGATTTATTCACTACCATGAGAACAATATGGGGGAAACCACCCCCATGATTCAATTATCTTCCACAAGGTCCCTCCCACAAACGTGGGAATTATGGGAACACATTTTAAGATGAGATTTGGGTCGGGACACAGCCAGACCATATCATGCTGCCCCTGGCCCCTCCAAATCTCATGTTCTCACATTTCAAAACCAATCACACCTTCCCAACAGTCCCCCAAAGTCTTAACTCATTTCAGCATTAACCCAACAGTCCATAGTCCAAAGTATCATCTGAGACAAGGCAAGTCCCTTCCACCTATGAGCCTATAAAATCAAAAACAAGCTAGTTTCTTTGTAGATACAATGGGGGTATAGGTATTGGGTAAATACAGCCATTCCAAATGGGAGAAATTGGCCAAAACAACAGGTTTACAGGGCCCATGCAAGTCTGAAATCCAGCAGGGCAGTCAAGTTTTAAAGCTCCAAAATGATCTCCTTTGACTCCAGGTCTCACATCCAGGTCATGCTGATGCAAGAGATGGGTTCCCATGGTCTTAGGCAGCTCTGACCCTGTGGTGTTGCAGCATACAGCCTCCCTCCCAGCTGCTTTCATGAGCTGACATTGAGCATCTGTGGCTTTTCCAGGTGAACAGTGCAATCTTTTGGTGGATCTACCATTCTGGGGTCTGGACGACAGTAGCCCTCTTCTCACAGCTTCACTAGGTGGTGTCCCAGTAGGGACTCTGTGTGGGGGCTCTGAGCCCACATTTCCCTGTGCACTGCCCTAGCAGAGGCTCTCTATGAGCACCCTGCCCCTGCAGCAAACTTCTGCCTGGGCATCCAGGCATTTCCATACATCTTCTGAAATCTAAGCGGAGCTTCCCAAACCCCAATTCTTGACTTTTGTGCACTCACAGGCTCATCACTGTGTGGAAGCTGCCAAAGCTTGAGGTTTGCACCCTCTGAAGCCATGGCCTGAGCTCTACATTGGCCCCTTTCAGCCACAGCTGGAGTGGCTGGGACACAGGGCACCAAGTCTCTAGGCTGCACACAGCATGGGAACCCTGGACCCAGCCCACGAAACCATTTTCTCCTAGGCCTCGGGGCCTGAGATGAGAGGGGCTGCCACAATGGTCTCTGACATGCCCTTGAGACATTTTCCCCATTGTCTTGGGGATTAACATTTGGCTCCTGTTTACTTATGCAAATTTCTGCAGCTGACTTGGATTTCTCCTTAGAAAATTGGTTTTTCTTTTCTATCACATTGTCAGGCTGCAAATTTTCTGAGCTTTTATGCTCCACTTCCCTTATAAAACTGAATGCCTTTAATAGCACCCAAGTCACCTCTTGAATGCTTTGCTGCTTAGAAATTTCTGCTGCCAGATACCCTAAATCATCTCTCTCAAGTTCAAAGTTCCAGAAATCTCAAGGTCAGGGGCAAAATGCCACCAGTCTCATTGCTAAAACATAACAAGAGTCACCTTTGCTCCAGTTTCCAACAAGTTCCTCATCTCCATCTGAGACCACCTCAGCCTGGACCTTATTGTCCATATCACTATCAGGCTTTTGGTCAAAGCCATTCAACAAGTCTCTAGGAAGTTCCAAACTTTCCCACATTTTCCTGTCTTCTTCTGAGCCCTCCAACTGTTCCAACCTCTGCCTGTTACCCAGTTCCAAATGTGCTTCCACATTTTCAGGTATATTTTCAGCAACACCCCACTCTTCTGGTACCAATTTACTGTATTAGTCCATTTTCACATTGCTGATAAAGACATACCTGAGACTGGGAAGACAAAGAGGTTTAATTGGACTTACAGTCCCACGTGGCTGGGGAGGCCTCAGAATCATAGTGGGAGGCAAAAAGCACTTCTTACATGGCAGTGGCAAGAGAAAATGAGGAATAAGCAAAAGCAGAAACCCCTGATAAAACCATCAGATCTCATGAGACTTATTCACTACCATGAGAACAGTATGGGGAAAACCACCCCCATGATTCAAATTATCTCCCACCAGGTCCCTCCCACAACACATGGGAATTATGGGAGTATAGTTCACCATGAGAATTGGGTGGGGACACAGCCAAACCATATCAACATATGTGATATTGCTAGGGACTGAATTGTGTCCTCCCCAAAATTCATACGTTGAAGTTCTAATTTCCAATGTGATTGTATTTAGAAATAGGGCTTTTAGGAGATAATTAAGGTTACGTGAGATAATAGAGATGGGTTCCTAATCTGATAGGATTGCTCTTCTTATAAAAAGAAAGAGAGAGAGAAAGAGAGAGATTTCTCTAGGAATAGGACATGTGAGCACATAGCAGGAAGGCAGGAAGCTAACCAGGAAGACAGCCCTTGTTAAAACTGGACCATGCTGACACCCTGTAGGGAACTTCCAGCCTCCAGAATCATGAGAAAACAAATTCTGTTGTTTAAGCCACTCAGTCTATAGAATTTTGTTATGGCAGCCTGAGCTGAGTAATACATATACCAAATTTAGGGCTATAGGAAAGCTTCAGGATAATGGATTTCAGATTGTGCAAAGGCTTTGTTATGAGGAATCCATTTGGAAAATAGCCATAGATGCTAAATGCCATCACATTTACTTGACCTGGCAATTCACAACCCATACATTCAACATAAATAACAACAGATTGGATGAGAAAAGAATACTTTTATATATACACTCTCAAATTTTAGTTAATCAAAATACTTGGGACAAAAATCGAAGCACTTGATAAAAAGAGTTGATTCAGATGTACTCTTTCCCTGAAGGTAACACAATAGTTTCCCTCTTCCCAAATCAATTCCCAGTGAATAATAGGACAATTTGTCACTTTCTAGACATTGGGGAAAAGGTTGTAGTTTTCATGTAATAGCATCATAGATATCCAAGACCATACAGAAAGTAAATGATACTGGAAAGTTGGAACTCCATCTCAGCACTAATTAAAACCATTGCCTTGGTCATATGCATAGGAAAAAAGAAAACAAAAAGAAATACATCTCAAAAGTTTTCCTCCTATAGACCAACTAAATTCTGTTTTAACTTGTAGGATTTCTGATGCAAAGGCCTGATAGAAGTTATCTGGCCACAGAACAGAAAGGTTTTCTTTGATATACCTGACACATAATGTAAGTATGCTTTTACTGAATATTCCCAATGACAGCAAACTCACTATCTTATGAGTCAACAAATTCCACCGTGGAATAGCTAAATCTTACAATCTTAAATTAAACCAAAAGATGTGTTTTTTTGTTTAAAGACTTTTTCACAAATTCTCTTTTGAAGCAATGTGAAATATTTAGAGTATGAAAGCAGTCATCACCAAATTTAATGTAGCCTATTTTTTATTTTTGCCTTTCTGGTCGAACTCTTTGTATATTCATTTATAATGTTAATTTTTTCAGTTGTATTACAGCACAGGAAAACTAAGCCTATGTATTATTATCACTTTGATAAATGAGACTATGAAAGTGATTAACAGCTTTTAAAATAGTTCACAGCAAAGCTCAGCCTTTAAAAAAAATTAATTTGCAATAAAAGAAATGAGAAATGCATTGGATCCTCACCTTCTCTTCTTTAGAGTTTTTCCCTTGATAATTAATGACTTAGACCTGCTACAGTTTGACATGGGAGAGAGGATGAGAGAAAGAACTGTTGATCCCCTTAAAAAAGAATACATGAGTTTATTGTCCCACCAAATTCTCAAAAGAGTCTGAGAATCAGAAAAGGTTAAGAATCACTGAAGGGAAGAGCCTTCAATAAAAATGAGACTTTAGAAATAAAGGGTTAAATGTAATCACAGCCACCAAATTGCTTTAGAGATAGCAATAAGGAAATTTCATTGGACTTTCAACCTCTGTAGACAATGGAAGGTGTTTGTTCAGTTAACTTTTCCGAAAAACGACTTCCTGCCAAGCAGTAGGCTGCAACACTTGCACACAATAGTCTGCACTTCCCACACAAGCCACTGCGAAAATCTGGATTTCCGTGGACTGTTTCTGAGGAGTGCCATTATATTAGAGTCAAGAAAAAAAGTGGGAGGGAGGAGGGAAACACTGCATTCAATTCTCTTGCAATCTATTTTTAACACGCCTGAGAAGGTTTTGAGCTATTAATGTAATGAGGCTAGACTCAAAAACAAAAAAAGACCAGCAGGGCAGCAAAGGCCCAACATGGAGGGAGGGGGGTTAATTCCTTAAGGATGTTGACAACTGTTTCAATATCACATGAGATGTTTACATTGCCCATCAATGTATGTTTAATTTGAGGAAATCCTGATTAAAAAGAAAATGTGTAATGTGAGTGAATTAGCTTTCCCCCGGTACTGTTTTTCAGTCAAGGGGAGTGTTTCATAACTCTCTGCTGTCCATCCACTGAATTTTATGTCTTACATATTTATCAGGAGAAATTGCTGCAATCCTCCATGCTGGTGGTGCTCTAGACTCTTTTAAAAAAAATGAGGAAAATATATACATATAAAATTTACCTTCTTTACCAGTTTTAAGCCTACAGTTCAGTGGTAATAAATATATTTATATTCTCTTTTTTTCCTTCATTCTCTCCTCCCTTCCCAGCCTTTCATAACCACCACTTTACTATCTTCACAAGATTCACTTTTTTACCTTCCACATATGAATGAGAACACACAATATTTGATCTAAGTTTTTTTTTCCCCGTAAAAAATATGGTCCCAGCTACTTGGAAGGTTGAGACAGGAGGATCACTTGAGCCCATGAGTTCATAGGCTACATAATGAGACCCTGTCTCTAAAAAGAGATAGATAGATAGATAGATAGATAGATAGATAGATAGATAGATAGATTTGATCAACACAGCTGTGATTCAGGATAGGTATTGATTGCTAGAACACTCAAGAAACAACAGCTTGTGCCAGTGTAGCATCACTTAAGTTCAAGATGTACCAAATTTTATGACACTGTGGAAGCTATATAGTAATGCCCTGCTGTTAAATTTCAAAAAGATAATACAATCAACAGCCACCACTTAGTGAAAAGTTGGGAATCTTAGGAGTATTTTTTAAATGTATTTCTCTAGGATACAAAATTAACATACAAAAATCAGTAGCATTTTTATATGTCAACAGCAAACAATTTAAAAAAGAAATCAAGAACGTAATCTCATTTACAATAACTACAAATAAAATAGCTTTGAAATAAACTTAATCAAATAAGTGAAATAACTTTACAATGAAAACTATAAAACATTGATGCAAGAAATTGTTAAAGGACACAATAAAATGGAAACAGATTCCATGTTCATGAATTGGAACAATTAGTATTGTTAAAATCTCCATACTATCCAAAGCAATCTACAGATCCATTGCAACCCCTATCAAAATACCAGTGACATTCTTCATAGAAATAGAAAAAAGAATTATAAAATTTATATGGAACCACAAAAGACCCAAAATAGCCAAAGCCATTGTGAACAAAAGAACAAAACTGGAGGAATCACATTACTGACTTCAAATTATACTACAGAGCTATAGTAATCAAAACAGCATGGAACTGGCATAAACACAGACACACAGATCAATGAAACAGAATACAAAACCCAGAAATAAATTCGTACATCTATGGTGAACTCATTTTTGACAAAGGTGCAAAGAATACACACCAAGGAAAGGAGAGTCTCTTCAATAAATGGTGCTGGGAGAACTGGATATCCATATGCAGAAGAATGAACTGAGCCCACTCTCTCTTACCATATATAAAAATCAAATCAAAATGAATTAAAGACTTAAATCTAAGATCTCAACCTAAGAAACTACTAAAAGAAAACATTAGAGAAACTCTCCAGGACCTTGATCTTGGCAAAGATTTGAGTAATGCCCCACAAGCACAGGCAACCAAACCAAAAATGGACAAATGGGATCACATCAAGTTAAAGAGCTTCTGCACAGCAAAGGAAACAACAAAGTAAAGTAACAACCCACAGAATGGGAGAAAATATTTGCAAATTATACATCTGACAAAGGATTAATAACCAGAATATATAAGGAGCTCAAATAATTCCATAGACAAACTAAAAAACTGATTTTAAAATGGGCAAATGATCTGAATGGACATTTCTGAAAAGAAGAAATACAATTGGCAAACAAGTACGTGAAAAGGTGCCCAAGATCATTAATCATCAGAGAAATGCAAATCAAAACTACAATGAGATACCATATCACCCCAATTAAAATGGCTTTTATCAAAAAGACAAGCAATAACAAATGCTGGCATGGATGTGTAGAAAGGGGAACCCCTGTACACGGTTGGTAGAAATGTCAATTAGTACAACCACTATAGAGAACAGTATGGAGGTTTCTCAAAAAAACTAAAAACAGAACTACCACATGATCCAGCAATCCCACTGCTTGGTATATACACCAAAGAAAGGACATCATATAATAAAGAGATATCTGCACTCCCATGTTTACTGCTGCAATATTCACAATAGCCAAGATTTGGAAGCAGCCTAAGTGTTCACAACAAATGAATGGATAAAGAAAATGTGGTACATGTACACAATGGAGTACTATTCAGCCATGAAAAAGAATGAGATCCTATCATTTTCAACAACATGGATGGAACTAGAGGACATTATGTTAAGTGGAATAAGCCAGACATGAAAAGACAAACTTTGCATGTTCTCACTCATTTGACGGAGCTAAAAATTAAAGCAAAAATTGAACTCATGGAAAGAGAGAATAGAATGATGGTTACCAGAGACTGAGAAGGCTAGCGGGGAAGAGGGGTGAAGTGAGGATGGTTAATGGGTATAAAAATATAGTTAGAATGAATAAGATCTAGTTTTGATAGAATAACAAGGCAACTACAGTTAACAATAATTTATTGTAAATTTGAAAATAGTGGAAAGAGTATAATTGAAATGTTTGTAACACAAAATGACAAATATTGAGGTGATGGATCTTTCACTTACCCTGATGTGATTATCACACACCATATACCTGTATCAATATATCTCATGTACCTTATCAATGTATATACCTACTATGTACCCATAAAAAATTTTAAGTTTAAAAATTTTTGTAAAGATTTCTCACAAGTTCTTCCTCTCTTCATTTTGTGAAAGGCCAGCTTGCCAGCCTGCCTTCTAGCAAGCTAAGCAGGTATTAATTAAGAAAATTATAGTCATAGGAGTAGCAATAGTAGTAATAGCAACTAGAATTTATTAAGTACTTGCTAGTGATTAAATACTAAGCACTTTACAAATGGCATCTTTTTTCAACTGTATTTTTCCCAACTGCATGTGATAAAAGTGAGGTTCAGAAAAGTTAGTTACTTGCTGAGACAATACTGCTAGTAAGAGATGGAGCTGAAATTTAAATCAAATTCCATCATACTCCAAATTCCCATGCCCTTAACCCCGTGCTATACAGCCACACCTTGTTTTATTGTGCTTTGCTTAATTGCACTTCTCAGATATTGCATATTTTTACAAATTGAAGGTTCGTAGCAACTCTGTATCGAGCAAATCTAATCTACTCGTGCCATTCTTCCAACAGCATGTGCTCACATGGTGTCTCTGTGTCACATTTTGGTAATTCTTGTAATATATCAAAAGTGTCAGTTATTATATCTGTTATGGTGATGTGTGATCAATGATCTTTAATATTGCTATTATAATTGTTTTGAGGCTCCACAGACTGCACTCATATCAGATGGCAAGCTTAATTGAGAAATGTGTGCGTTTTGACTGCTCCACCAGCCAGCCATTTCCCAGTCTCTCTTCCTCTCCATGTCTTTTTCTCTGCTTGGGCCTTCCTATTCCCTGGGACACAACAATATTGAAATGAGACCATTTAATATCCCTACAGTGGCCTGTAAGCATTCCAGTAAAAGGAAAAGTCACATGTCTCTCACTTTAAATCAAAAGCTAGGAATGATTAAGCTTTGTAAGGAAGGCATGTAAAAAGCTGAGATATGCTGAAATCCAGGCCTCTTAGATCAGACAGTTAGCCAAGTGGTGAACGCAGAGGAAAAAGTTCTGCAATGACATTAAAAGTGATACTCCGGTGAATATCCAAATGATAAGCAAATGAAACAGCCTTACTGCTGATATAGAGAAACTTTCAGTGGTCTGGATAGATCAAACCAGCCATAATATTCCCTTAAGGCCTAATCCAGAGCAAGGCCCTAACTCTCTTCAGTTCTGTGAAGCCTAAGAGAGTTGAGGAAGCTGCAGACAGAAAGTTTGAAGGTAGCAGAGGTTGGTTCGTGAGGTTTAAGGAAAGAAGCTGTCTCTGTAACATAAAAGTGCAAGATGAGGCAGCAAGTGCTGATGGAGAAGCTGCCGCAAGTTATCCCAAGACCTACTGAGGTTAATTGATAAAGGTGGCTACACTAAACAACAAGTTTTCATTGTAGACAAAATAGCTTTATATTGGAAGAAGATGTCATCTAGGACTTTCATAGTTAGAGAGAGGAAGTCAAAGTCTAGCTTTAAAGCTTCAAAGGACACGCTGACTTTCTCGTTAAGGGCTAAATACAGCTGGTGACTTTAAGTTGAAGCCAATGTTCATTGATCATTCTGAAAATCCTGGGGCCTTTAAGAATTATGCTAAATCTATTCTGCCTATGCTCTATAAATGGAATAACAAAGTCTGGATGATAGCATATCTGTTTACAGCATGGTTTACTGAATAGATTAAGGCCATCGTTGAGATTAGTGCTCAAGAAAAAGACATTTCTTTCAAAATATTACTGCTCACTGGCAATGCACCTGGTCCCCCAAGGGCTCTGATAGAGATGTACAAGGAGATTAACGTCGTTCCCATGCCTGCTAACACAACATCCATCTTCAGCCCATGGGTCAAGGAGTAATTTGGACTTTCAAGTCTTATTATTTAAGAAATACATTTCATAAGGCTATAGCTATCATAGACAATGATTCAACTGACACATCTAAGAAAAGTAAATTGAAAACCTTCTGGAAAGAATTTATCAGAAGTCTAGATGCCATTCAGAAAATTCATGATTCATAGGAGGGGGACAAAATATCAACATTTACCAGATTCTGAAAGAAGTTGATTCCAACCCTCATTGATGACTTTGAGGGCTTCAAGACTCCAGTGGAAGAAGACATTGCAGATGTGGTATAAATAGCAAAGAACTTGAATTAGAAGTGGAGCCTGAAGATGTGACTGAATTGCTGCAATCTCATGATAAAACTTGAACAGATGAGGAGTGAACAAAAGTGAAGGAGCAAAGAAAGTGGTTTCTTGAGACGGAATCTACTCCTGGTGAGGATGTGGTGAACGTTGTTCCACTGACAACAAAAGATTTAAAATATTATGTAAACATAGTTGATAAAGCAGCTGTAGCGTTTGAGAGAATTCATTCCAATTTTGAAAGGAGTTCTACTGTGGGTAAAATGCTGTCAAACAGCAGTTCATACTGGAGAGAAATATTTCACGAAAGAGAGAGTCAATCAATGCAGCAAACTTCATTGTCTTATTTTTAAGAAATTGCAACAGCCACCCCACCCCACCCTTCAGCAACCATCACCCTGATCAGTCAGCAGCCATCAAAATTGAGGCAAGACTTTCCACCAGCAAAAACATTGTGCCTTGCTGAAGGCCCAGATGATCATTAGCATTTATAGCAATAAAGTATTTTTACATTAATATATGTATTTTGTTTTTTAATACATAATGCTACTGAATACTTAATAAAATACAGTATAGTAAACATAAGTTTTATATGCACTGGGAAATAAAAAATTTCATGTGACTTACTTTATTGCAATATTCTCTTTATTGCAGTGGTCTGGAACCAAACCCACCATCTATCTGAGATATGCCTGTGCTACTTTCATCCATAGTCCTGTTACAACTTGTGATGGTCATCTCAGACTTAAAGCTATCATTCAGTCCACAAGAAGCAACTTCTGAAATGACTCCAGCTCCTCTAACTGGAGTTTAATAATTTGGCAAATACCTGATGTCTTACTAGTATTATTCTGGCTACAATTGTTACTGCTGCTGTTTCAGTATCCTGACCAGTACCCTATGAAATAGGACAGCAACATTTTTTTAACTAGGGGCTTATTAATTAGATTCCTTATTGTGGTTTCATCATAAATCTACAGGTGCAGTAAAATAAATCATTAAAATGTCTAAAGAAGTAGTAAAAGTTGAACTCATCTTAAAGCTCAAGAATAGTGAGAAATGAGAGTCCTTGGCAACACTTTAGCTTGAGACAGGATGAAAAATAAAATTTGCCCAGATTTGTGCAGAGACGTATGGAACTGATTTCTAGGATGTGATTCCCATACCCAGTCTCCATTCTCAACTCTCAGCTTCTCAAATTCCTCTCCTTGGCCCACTTGTCTTCTGTTTTGACTCTCCCCTGCCCACATATCCTTATGCCACAAGATATACTAGGACACAAATTCTGCCTACTAAGAAATGGACAATCCCAATAATATTAAAATAAACAGAAAAAACTCTCTGAGATTTCTATGCCTACCTGAAATAATTTTTTAAAGTTGTTTTGTTTTCATTAAACAAGTCATATATGTTGTACATTATTTAGGAACTATAGAAAATATAAAGAAAGTGGAAATCACCCACATTCATAGAAACTGGAGATATCCATCACTGATATTTTCTATACTTCTTTCTGGTATTTTTTTCCATGTTTACACTGATTAGTCTATTCATTTAGCAAAAATTTAGCACTTACTATGTGCCAGGCAATGTGCTAGGTGTTGCGGATACAACAGTAAAGAAAACAGACATGAATTTCTAACCAAATGGAACTTATATTTTAGATGGTGAGAACAGACCATAAACCCCCAAAATGAATAAGCTGTATAGTATATTAGAAGGTGGTAAGCGCTATGGAGAAAAATATAGCAGAGAAGACGGATGCAATGTGTTGGCCTGAGTGAAGGTTGTTATTTTAAATAGGATGAGTCAGTCACTAAGAAGGTAACATTTTAGCAGAAACATGAAATGGGTGAGGGACAAAGCCACATAGGTATGTCATGGAACAACTTCAAACTCATGTGAATACAAAAGATTTATTTCTTGTTCACAATTTTGTGGGTGATCTGTGTAGCTTTGTTTCAGGTGGCAGTCACTGGGGTGGTTTTTCTCTATGTGTCCCTTACCTTTCACCTGAGACCAGTGGATTGCCAGGGGTTTGTACATCTCATGACAAAGACAGAAGCACAAAAAGGTAAGACTTATAACTCAAGCATATTTCAAGCATTTGCTTGAACCAAGCCTGGCAATGTACCATTTGCCAAAGCAAGTCATATGGCCAGGGCCAAGTCATGTGGCCAGGGTGAAATGATGAGAAGGGTCAGGGTGAAGGAAGGAAGTAAATATTTCTAAGCAACTGTCTAATATATCACAGTTCTCTATATTGTTTATAAATATTTATATTCTTTTCCTGTGCAAAATATACTCACCCCCATCTCAAGTCTCCAAAAGTGTCTTGTCCATTGATAACATTTGGTTCAGAGTTCAAGATCTCATGGCCAACATAAAATCCTGTTGTGCTCCCTGTGTGATCCAGAGACCCATGATCTAAACAGATAAGTTACCGTCCCTCATTGCATTCAATATACAACAGTGGAACTGGGACGAGATACCCACAATAAACACTCGCACTTGAAAAAGGAAAGAATGAGAGGCGCATGGCAATTGCTCACTGGTCCTTAGCGATTCTGAAAGCCCATTGTCAATATGTTGCCATTTTATTCTGAGGGAAAAATATGTTCTTTGATTTGACCCAAGATCTGATCCCTGGGAGTCTCTTGCCTAGTGCATTGTTTTCCAAAGGTGTTGACAAAGCCCTTCGTGGGTACAGGTGAAGAGCTTTCCTTTTACATTCTCTTCCTTGGTCACTTCTGAAAAGAGCAGTAGAGAATTCACCACTCTTGAATCCTGAATAGCTTTCTTAGCCTGTTTTCTACCTACAGAATCTTAAGGAGTTATTTTATTACCTCATAAAGTATCAATTTGTTTTAGTCTAGGCTGGGGTTGTTTTGCCAATACCATTTTCTCATAAACTCTGGAGGCTTTCCATGTATTTGATTATAATAAAGGCTCTTTGTAAAAAAAACCACATGCATAATTTTTATTGTATACATTTAAGGTGTACAACATGATGTTTTGACATATACAGTAAAGTTATTACTATAGTCAAGGAAATTAGCATATCCATCATCTCATATAGTTACTTTTTTCTTTTCTGGTGCTAAGAGTATCTAAAATCTACCCTGTGACAAATTTCCAGTGTATAGTACAATATTATTAACTACAGTCCTCATGCTACTATTAGATTTCTAGATTTATTCAATCTTTATAATTGCAGCTTTGCACCTACAATTTCCCATTTCCTCCACCCCCTGCCCCTGGTAACTACCATTCTACTCTCTGTTTCTATGTATTTAGTTTCTTTCTCTTTAGATTCCACATGTAAGTGAGATCATGGAGTATTTTTCTTTCTATTCTGGATCAATACCCACCCCACTCAAAAAAATAAATGAGATCACTTTGTAAAGATATTTGCCCTTCTTTGTTGATTATAGTATTATTCACAATAGCCAAGACATAAAAACAATTGAAGTATTCATCAATGTATGAATAATAAAGAAAACAGAATATCATTCAGCCTTTAAGTAGAAGGAATTCCTGCCATTTTTGACAATATGGACATCCCTAGAGGACAAAATGCTAAGAGAAATAAAGCAGGCACAATTCTTTCTGAGACACATCTGTCTTTCCATACTCAATTACATGTACTTTGCGTACATTAGCTTGCACACTTAATGCAATACAACAATAATCATTTATATCTTAATCGCAAGTTTGCAGGCCAATTGGGGTAGCTCTGCTTCAGTGTACAGCTTCACATCATGGGGAGGCTGGGGTGGCTCTGCTCCATGTGTCTTTTGTTCTCCTCCTGGGACCAGCAGGTTATCCAGATGTCATGTTTTCTCATGGCAATGGAAAAGTACAAGAGTGGCCTCCGAGTTAAATTGGAAATGAATGAAATGAATGAAAGTATGGGGGAAGCACATAGTTAAGCACATACTTAATCTCCTTGGCCCAGAAGTGGCACGTCACTTCAGTTCCTATTACACTTTACCAAAAGTGGTAACATCCTGCCTACATAGCTGCATAGGGGCTGGAAGATGCAGTTCTTGGCTGGGCAACTGCTTCTCAGCAACAGCTCCCCACTGTGGAAGGGGAGCTCATGTCTTTGTAACTCAACCAGCCATTTCTGCCACAATGGAGAATGTTTCAATTTCTAGCCTAGGTAGAAGAAAACACACAACAAAATATCTCCAGTGTGATGTCACTTTTGTGATCTAGAGAGAGAGCGAGGTGGGAAAGGTTATGTAGATATTAATGTAGATCTACATCTCAATCTAGATGAATAAAGAAAACCCTGAAATAATATATTCACAGTGGTTATTGTTGCATAGTGAGGTTACAGGTAGTTTCATTTTTTCACTTATATGCAAATATGAACAATTTATACTTTCAAACAATAAAGTATAATTTTTATAATGAGAAAATAATAAGGTACTGTTAAAAGTGCCAATGAATTTCTCTTTTGTGGTGCAGTGACATTTGCTGCTTTCTCTAAGAATCTATAGTAAGATACCATCATTCCTTCCTAACTTTTTCTTTAAAAGAGTTTATTGCTGGGTAAAAAAGTGTCATTTTTTATTTCTGTTATATCTTGAGGAAAATGATCATGCTTTGATTTTTGGTCGTCACTGTTTTGAGACTGCTTATAAAATACTACAGTGCTCTGGATATATTGATAGTTAAATAATTACCTCTCAGTACACAAAAAATGCAAGGATAATAGGCTTTTTTCCTGAAAATTTTAGCAGGGACTAATTCAGATGGCATTGGTGTCAAGCTCCACATCAACAGACATGTTCCCAAGAGATAGAAGAACCCAGGTAACATGAAAATGAATGTTCTTTCTCCTGTTGACCTATATTTTGAAAAGATTTGTATTGACAAATAGTCACTGTCATCTTACGTTGGGTCACTTCTACCCACAAAAGGAGGTTGAATGTGTGCCACTCAAACTACTCACTTAAGGTGCTTCTCAGGAGGGTAACTTGTAAACCATGGTTTCAGAATTTTCTTTATAAATGATTTCCTAGCAATAGTGAAACCGAAGGCTTCAGTCACCAGAAACCTAAATACATCATGAGTTCTTAGGTATTATTCCACGTTCAATTTGCCTAAATCTAATTTTTAGGCCTAGTCTTATCTTTCTGTCACAGAAACCTTGCCAATTATCTCCTATAAGGAGAATGCTCTTCAGAGTATTATAAAGAAAATATGGTTTACAAAACAAATTAGCAACAGTCTATTTCCTCAAGGAGGTTAACATCTAATTGGAAAATCATATGTAGAAAATTACCTAGAGACTACAATAATAATATTATTAATATGGTCACATTTTATGCAAAAGCAAGAAATCTTTCTCATGGGGCTCTCATTCTCCCTCTGAATCATCCGAATTCCTGCAGATACATGCAGTGCAACAGGAGATTTGTCTGCCTTCTCCTGCCTATTGGAAAGATCATTTATGTCCACATCATATATAGTGGCTAGTCACAGAGTCTCCAGAGAGACTGCCTGGGTTTGAATTCTGGTTCTGTCACTTTTTCAATTGGGTAATTTACTACCTCTTTTGGCTTCAGTTACCTCACCTATAAAATATGTAATGAGAATTAAATGAGTCAATTCATGAAAACAGATTAGAATTGTGCAGTATGTAGTAAATGCACAATAGATGTCAGCTATTAACATGTTGCTTCCATCTGCCACATGGTGTTATTGTTGAAAACTTGTCCTCCGAAGTCTGACAGATGAAGCTGCCCACTCTACAATGAAATGCCACCAGCTATTAACATGCAGGACACCTCAGTTCTTTAGAGTAGAACCACCCTACTTCTTCAGAGCTAAGGTTGGCAAAGAATGTCCTACACTTGAGTCCCCAGGGTTGCAGTTTTGCCTTATCAGCTCATTAGGGGTCACTCCCTACCCTCTCACAGAGTAATGGCCAGCATTCACAGTGCTTGATTAGGTGTGGATCAGATGGTTACCCCTTCAAAGACCCTAAATACTGCCCCTTTTGCTTCCTACAGGAGATCCATGTAGCAGTCTAGACGATTTTTTAAAATCACAAGTTCATGGCACATGAAAGATGTGATTGCATCTCTTTTCTTTGGAAAATGTGGTTTCTCAATAATTCTGACAGATCACTCCCTTGTTCCAACGAGGGAGACTTCATAAAGGAGCTGCCTTCTGTGACTCAAAGGTGATTACTCTCTAACGAAGTCTTCCCTAAATATGCTCCCCTAAACATACGATGCCCACTCTTATGGGTTGAGGGGTGGGCAGAAGAACTGTCTTTGGTTTTTCCACTATTCTATCCCCTTTCATGAGGAAAAACTCAAATGTAATCTCTGGTGAGGCATGCCACTACCATAAGAACAAAAATATATTTATTATGTACCTATAACTTATTGAGCAATGTGTTAAGTACTCCATATGTGTCATCCGATTTAATCCCCCAATGACTTTGTGAGGCAAGTGTTATTATTGTTATTCTCAGTTTAGAAAAGAAGAAACTGAGAAGATAAGTAATTTACATCTTATAGCTAGTCAATGGCTGAGCTGGTATTCAAACACAACAGTCTGTCTACTCATCCACCTGAAGCATTTACCAGTCAAGAAGTGAGCCTGGTCCATTGAGATTAATCAAAGATGGCTTCCTTTCTATTATTATAGGATGTATTGGGGGTGTAAAAATGTAATGGTTTAGGGAAAGGTGGCCATATTTGTGTCAAATGTAGGTATTATGTACATAGAAAAGGATCCATGTTAATTTGTGAAGTTCAGGCTGAATTATAAAATTAATTTAATAATTTTCATAGATGTTAAATAATCTGCTGTTTCATCCTAAGCAAAGATTATTTGAAAAGGAAGAGTAAAAAAAATTAGTCTTGAACTGGAGACAGCAGTCATTGTCCAGCTGTTCATAGCTTCTTCCAAATAAGCTTCTTCTGCCCAAAGTCTCCAGAACCTTGTTTGAACCATATCACCTGCCTCCTTCTCCCTAGCCACAACTATGAGCCCAGAGATAATCAACAATCCAAAAGAAACCAGTGCTAGGTTAAGCTGAATGAAGCAGATGTCCACTCTTAAAATTTAAAGAAATATGGTGACTAAGCCAATTGGTGGTTAAGTCACATTAATGGCAGAGCACAAAAGTAAAAGTCCATGTATTACAATTGAAATACCTCTTCTCTCCACCCTTCTAGGAGAGGCCTAATCGTTTAGTTGTTGCAATAAACTGCCTTTATTCAATGCTGAACAAGAAGTTTTTATTTTTGTAACCAAGTAATCTTTGACCAAGAAAACATTAATAGGCACCTGTTACATGTTCTATACTATCCTAAAGAGAACTGTATTGCATAGGTACTTCTCTTTCCATTTTACAGATGAGAGAATTGGAGATTCAGACAAAAAAATATATTTCCAAAGTCACATAGCAAGAATATGGCAGGTCTAAGATTCAAACCCAGGTCTATCTGATTCCAAAACTTATAATATTTATAATGCATGTTCAAGTATCTCTAATTATATGTATTATATATTTATTGTATATTGTATCACTTATTGTATATGATATTGTATCACATTGTATATGACATAAAAATAAACATATTGTATATGATATCATGATTAAATCAGTGATAAGAGATTTGTCTTATATAATAATAATTCAAAATAAACTGAATTTAGATTTCTCTTTTGAATTTAGAAATCTGGAAAGAGTGCTGCTCTCACTCTTTCTACAAAAAAAGTAAAATAATCTACAAATTCATAACTTTTGCCAGACATTTACAATCTCAGGGCAACAAACAAACACAAAATCTAAAGAAAGACAGGAGATAAAGAGTATAAGTCCTTACTTAGCTAGAGAATACACTGGACAGTATATAAGATGAGAAGAAAACAACCAAAATTTTAAGCAAATTGCTAAAAGCCAAGTGTTACCTAATTTGAGAGAATAGAAACCTTGGGGATCACAAACACAAAGAGAATTTGCACCCACTCACAGGAGCTCCTCTATGGACCTTACTTACTAACAAGAGAGATGTGGGGCAACTAAAGAGTTAGGAGGAAGACTTTTTTTTTTTGAGGCATGGTCACTGCAGTCTTGACCTCCTGGGCTCAGGTATTCCTTCCACCTCAGCTTCTCAAGTAGCTGGGACTACAGGTAAGAAGCCTTTCTTATAAAGTCAGCTGAGGGAGGAAAATATTATCCACTCGAGCAAAATTACAAAACTCCACCTGGATTCTTCTCTCCATCTTTCTTAGGCAACAAAAGCCTTACACCGCTGAGGGAAGATTCAGCAAACCCACTAAATATTGGGCAAAAAGCCAAGATCTATTGCAGCTAGAGAAAGAGAATAGATAAAATTCTTTTGCTCTTCCAGGAAAGGCAAGAAGTCATCCTAAACTCAGATGATTAGTGCTCTCCTACACCTGGGAGAGTGAAACAATCATTGAAAATGTCTCATCCTCAGGAACATAAGTACTTTCCTATAATTGAGGCTGAACTAGTATAACAAAGCCTAAGTGTCCTGCACCCCACATAGTACAACCAAGACAGCAAGCACTGCACAATAAGTAATAGCAGTCTATTGCTGGGAGAGGCCCAAAAGCTTGGAAAGGGACCCAGTCTGAGGCACAGGCATGCAGGGAAAGCCTAAAGCTGAAGGTGGAACAGATATTAATAAAATTCTCCAACAAACCAGCCACTAATCTAAGGACAAGGAATTTCAAGGCTGTGGCATGCTGAGGTTCACAATTGCAACAAAACCACACCCGGCTCCACTCCTGATTAGATTGACTCAATTTCCCTCACATCTTTATTCTAAAACCTAGCAAAAGAAAAGGTGGACATTTACAAACGTAAACAATATTAGTCTCAGTCTCTCTTGTTCTACATAAAATGTCCAACCTTCAGATAAAATACACAACATACAATAAGACAAGAAAGCATAACACCTTTTCAAAACACAAAGCAATTAACAGAACTAGACTCAGATATAACCTCAATCTTGCAATTATTAAAGAATTTAAAATATGATTAACGTAGTAAAGACTTTAGTGAAAAAAAGCAGACAATGTTCATAAACAATTAGGAAATTTCAGCAGAAAGCTGAAAACTATGAAACCGAATCAAATATAAATGTCACAAATAAAAAATACGGTAACAAAATGAATATGCCCTTGCAGAGTTGATAAGTATAATTGAGGCAGCTGAGAAAAGAATCAGTGAGAGACCAGCTGGCCAACATGGTGAAACCTCCTCTCTACTAAAAAACACAAAAATTAGTCAGGCATGGTGGTGCATGCCTGTAGTCTCAACCACTTTGGAGGCTGAGGCACAAGAATCACTTGAGCCTGGGAGGCAGAGGTTGCTGTGAGTCGAGATCATGCCACTGCACTCCACCCTGGGTGATAGAGCAAGACTCTGTCAAAAAAAAAAAAAAAAAAAAAATCAATGAACTTGAAGATAGGTCAATAAAAATTACTCAAACTGGAGCACAAAGATTAAAAAAAAAAGTAAAAACAAACAAAAAAACAAAATAGAGAACCCAAGAGTTGTGGTACAATATTAAAAAGTCTAAAATTTATGTAATTGGTGTCTCAGAAGGAGAAGAGATAGAGTGATACAGAAAAAAAAAACGCTGGAAGAAATAGTAAGCAAGATAACAAGCATTGAGTATTAAGTAATAATAATGTAAGAAATTATGATCCAGAATTTCCCAATTAAAGATATCAAGCATAGATATAAGAAGCTGAGAGGACATCAAGCAAAAGAAATATTTTTAAATGCCTAGATATATTATATTCAAACCACTGAAAACCAAAGATAAAGAGAAATTCCTGAGGACAGTCAGAGAAAACAAAAGTAAGAATTATAGCAGACTTCTTATCAGAAGCTATGCAAGTCAAAAAACCATAGAATAACAATTTTAAGGTGCTAATTACAAATTAACTGCCAATCCAAAATCTATATCCAGTGAAAATAACTTTCAAAAGTGAAGGAGAAAAATTTTCTGAGACAAACAAAAACTGAGAGGATTTATTTCCTACAGAAAAAAAAATTAAGAAAAATTTTTAAGCAGAAAAAAGAATGATACCAGGCAGAATCATGGATCTATATAAAGAAGTACAGTGCTATGGAAAACAAATACAGGAAAATATATGGTTCTTTTTCCCCAGTTTTTACTTACTCTAAAAGATAACTGACCATCTAAAGCAATAATGGAATCAGTGTTGTATGTGTTTATTGCAGACATAAAAGTAAAATGCATGACAACAACAGCTCTAAGTATTGGGAGCAGCAGGAATTGAGAGTACATTGCTATAAGATTCTTACACTTCACATGAAGTAATATAATATTATTTGAAGGCAAGCTGTGACTAAAGATACATATTTTTATAAAACCTAAGAAAATCAATACAAATTTTTAAGTGGTATAAAACACAAGCCAATAATGGAGATAAAACGTAATTATAAAAATAATTTTTAAAGGTGCAGAAAATAAAAATGATACAAAAAAATACAGAACAAGAAGAAAATATCTAGCAATATGATAGATATTTTTATCCAACCATATCAATAATTATAAAATTAAATGTAAATTATCTAGATACAGCTATTCAAAGAAATAGATTGGATAAGAAAGCAAGATCCTATTATTAGATCCATTTTAAGTAAGAATACATACATAGGTTAAAAGTAAAAGGTGGCTAAAGAGGCACCATGAAACACTCAAAATAAAGCTGGAGATGGCTATATTAATATTAGACAACATATATGTTAAAAATAATATTTTATATATATATATATATATATATATATATAGATTTTTTGTATTTTTAGTAGAGATGAGGTTTCACCACGTTGGCCAGGTTGGTCTTGAACTCCTAACCTCAAGTGATCCACCCACCCTGGCCTCCCAAAGTGCTGGGATTACAGATGTGAAACACCATGCCTGGCCAGACAAAGTAGATTTTAGAATGACAATATTACCAGGGATGAAGATAAGGGTTTTATGATAAAGGGATCAATTCACAAAACATCATAACGATCCTAAATGGAAATACACCTAACGACAATGCTTCAAAACACATCAAGAAAAACCTGTTAAAAATGCAAGAAAAAAATAGATAATCCATAATTATAGTTAAAGATTTCAACAATCCTTTCTCAGTGATCAATAGAACAAGTAAACATAAAATGAGTAGAGATATATCTGACATCATACTTAGTGGGAAAAGACTCAACGCTTTTCCTCAACAATTACAAAAAAGACAAGCATATCCACTTCTGCTGCTTCTATTCAACATCATACTGGAGGTGCTAGGCAGTGCAATAAGGCAAGAAAAATGGCTAAAAGTCATACAGATTGGAAAACAAGAAATAAAACTGTCTCATGTCTATTTGCAGAAAACATGATTGTCTTTGTATAAAATCCCAAAGGATTCAAGATTCGAAAAAAAAAAGCTACTAGAACTCATGAGTGAGCTTAGCAATGACACAGGATACAATTTCAATATGTAAAAATCAACTAACTTTCAAAATACCACAATGAACAATTAGAAATTACAATAAATTAATTATTTGGAAAAATGAAGAGCATCTTCTCCCAAGTGATCACTCGACTAAAGAGGCTGAAATAATACTTAATACTTAGCATTTTAAATTTATAGGCAAAATAAAATCTTAACATTAATAAATTTTGGAAAAAATTACTTTCTTCCTGCCTGATGAATTCAATTTATTTTAGAAGTGTCCAACAAGTTATTCCCCAGAAAAAATGTTTCAAAACTAAGTTCCCTATATCAACTGAAGAAATAGTGATTTGAACTTCATTGTGTCATGTTAAACAATATTTCTACTGACAAATATTGTTCATATCTTTGTTTTCTACAGTTGAAATACAAAATGTTTGCTGAAGGTTTTATATTTCAAGGTGTCTTGGCTATTTAAAAAATCCTCTGCTGTGTTTTCTACTGCATCCTAGACAATTATGTAGCAGTTATGCCAAACCTGTCCCTCCTTCCCCTTGGCAGATATTACTAATCTAGGATCCAGGTCCTTTAGCCTTTGACCAGGCTTAGAATCTTTCTCAGCACAGCCATCACCTAACAACCACTACTGCTCAAACAGAGTTGACATGCAAATTGATACCTAGTTAACATCCTAGAGTTACAATATCAAATCCAAATTCCTTTGGGAATTATATCCTCCAAAATCAAACACACCCTTCCCTGCCCATCTGTCCAGTAAGATTTTCTTTGCTCTTCTTTCTGCCTTTTCCAAATCTGCTTTTTCTTCCAAGCCCAGTTCAGTCTCTACCTCAACCATAAAGCCTTCCCTCAAATACCTGGGTTCACAATGAATACTCATTTTGGTGAGCTCCTATTTCACGTAATTAATTCCACATTTTAATGTAGAATCAGTCTTCTTTATGGGTCATGAGTTATGGCTTTGACACCTGAAACCAAGTGGTATCCATCCTATGACTGTAATATAGTCCTCCCATCACAAAGCTGAAAGCAATGCAGGAACTCAGCTGCTGTAGGAAATTTGCTTTGATTATCACTAACATTCACACTCAAAAGGCAACCTAAGCTGACGTGCCATTCCAGGACACACTGACCAGACAGCAGCATTCATCCTGAGTTACTCTTTTGAACTCATCAAAGTATTTCCCACAATGAAGTTCATATCTTTGTGTTGTGATGAAACCTCTCTGCAGAAAATCCACCATTCTATAACAATAATATCCTCAAGTCATGATGATTTTTCACCTAGAGATCTGAAGAACCATAAATACATATTTTACAGAGCCCCAGACTGGGCCTATAATATTTTCAGTTCAGACTGGAGAATCACCATGAAAGAACCAGTCTTGATATAAATGGAGAAACACCAGGGCTAATTTTATTAAGATAAATATCAGGATTAAATTAGAACTCTGAAAGAAAAGATCAGCTCTATATGATACCTAAATCCTAAGGCCAAATAAATGGGGAATTGTAACTAGCCATTGTAGATGTTACCCAGAGGCACCCATGAGCAAACAAGGATGACTAGAACTGTGATAAATTTCTTATTAACATCTCCATCATTTGAGAAGTTAGAACTTGTTTTGGAACATCTCCTGTCATCAAATAAAAGTTCATAAGGCAACCTGTGGTGAAATGCTATTGCTTGAAACAGGCGATGTAAATTCAAAACTCACTTTTCAACACCTGCCGTTTCTACTCTGTACACGTTTTGAACCTCTCTATGTAAATCCCAGGCCTTCTAAAGCAAAGAAATACCCATGCTATCAGTTAATTTCCTTTATTTATATAATAATTTTGAGATGATATTTTTTCTCTAGCCACATAGCATATTCTACCCCCAATTTAAACTGTTTTAAAAACCAAATCCAGGCATTGGGACCCATAAAGAATCATCTAGTCTAGATGTGCAAACAAATAAAGAAGAGGAGAATACCTAGTAAAAACGACCCCGCTGATTGTGTGTAAATAAAGAGCTGCTGCTGTTTAATGTTCAGTAAGTATTAAAGATACTCTGGAACTTGTTCACATAGTTCTGTATCATGTAATTTTTTTTATTTTCTGAGCAATTTCCCATGGCTTCCACGATTTTTCATGGACATCATCTTAATGGCTCTGCATCATTTTATGTATACTGGGCAGTGGGGAGATTGGAATGAAGTGAACCAAATGTTGATCGTGATTAACTCTAAGTGGCAAATGTGCTATAACATTTATTTATTTATTTGTATTCTACAAATTTTTCCATAATTAGAAGGTACTAGTTTTATACTTAAAAAATAAAGTTAATTAGAAAAATATTCTTACTCTTCATTGTTTGAGGCTAAGCTCTTTATAGGTAACACCATCCTGTTGTGGATCATTTTAAGAATATTTAGGATTTGGCAAAATTTCTATTACTCCTTGTGGTGAGAATAAAGAGAGAGATGATGCTGGTCAGTTCACTTAAAGAAATAGAGCAACTAGTACTTTAACAATATACACGCACACACACACACACATACCCTACACTATAGCTTCTTCTTGAAATCTAAAATTAAGATTTCTTTTTCGATGGAACAGTCAAGTATTTTGTAAACCCTCCTTTAACACAGTATATATGTGGCCTCTTTCATTTTGCCTCGTCTTTCATTTTACAAATTTTACATCACTTTTCCTCTTTGATAGGAGAGAAATATAATAACATCCTAGATTTACCTAGCCAATATATATTATCACAATATTTTTATAATCTCTGAAACTTAATAAAAGCAGATTTATTTTCCAATCTGTTAATAACATCATACAGTACCTGGGATGAGAGAAAGATAAATAGGTTGGCGGGTAGATTTCCTGCATCAATTTGCAAGTTTCATCTGAGTCTAAAGAAAATGAATAAAATCAGTTTTACCTCAGGAATATATAAAACCAATACTCATAGAACTTAGGTTGACAAATCTCAAAAACGATTATTCAAATTGTGGTGTGCAAATTCTAATTTTAAAAAGCTGTCGAGATACTTTAAAATATTTTCATAACTTTAGGTCATTCATAATTTGTGTCTATTTTACTATTATAGACATTTTGAACAGATAGTAATCTTACTTTTAAACAATCACAGAAAGCAAACCAAAAGACTTTAATTTTTACTACATTGACTTTGCTCCTTTATATTCAAGGACAGAGTATATGTCTAAGTCTAAGACACCTAAGAGTTAAAGTAAAAGGACGTTGATCTCATTTGCCCAAAGAACTCTTTCCAGTTCTGCCTCTGGTTGCTTGCTCCACAACTGAGTTTATAATTTAGTGGATAATTTCTCTGTTAACAGCAGAATGTGCAGCTTTTTGAATGACCACAGTAATCCCCTAGAGCCACTGTTTACAATACTTTTTTTAATTCAATACTGTCACTGCAGGGAGCTTTCTTCTCCAGTACACTGAAATTTTGACAGTCCATATGATCTCAACGAATTTTCCAGGTGCTGAACAACAGCCAACCTGTATTTTTGGCAACCTGTAGAGGTATTTAAGTCTCCTTTGCCATTCTTCCTAATGCTGCTTACAATGTTTTTTGAGGTAAAAGTTTAAAGTAGTTGGTGGAAAAAAGTTTCAAATGTCTTGTATTATCAGGGCAAACGTACGGTCAAGGAGAATTCCCTTCTGAAAGAAGGAAACAAAAGCCATTCGTTGGGGAACATCACACACCAGGGCCAGTTGTGGGGTGAGGGGATTGGGGAGGGATAGCATTAGGAGATATACCTAATGTTAAATGACGAGTTAATGGGTGCAGCACACCAACATGGCACATGTATACATATGTAACAAACCTGCACGTTGTGCACATGTACCCTAAAATTTAAAGTATAATTTAAAAAAAAGATATCATAAAAAATAAAAATAAAAAAAATCTTTGGAGAACTATTACAGGAATACGAGTTTGAGATGTTATTCTTGGTACTTCTCAGTTTTAGGGACAAGTTTGCTGACTTTAATCAACTGTGAAATGTAGTATACAGATTGGACACAGAAGCTCGTACCTGTAATCCCAGCACTTTCAGAGGCTGAGACAGAAGAATCAATTGACACCAGGAGTTCAAGACCAGACTGGGCAACATAGTGAGACCCTGTTTCTAAAAAAAAAAAAAAAATTAATTAGCTGAGAGTGGTGGCATGTACCTGTAGTGCTAGCTACTCAGGAGGTTGAGGTGGGATAATCACTTTCACTCCAAGAGTTTGAGGTTGCAGTGAGCTATGATTGTGTCACTGCACTCCAGCCTGAGTGACAGAGAAAGATCCTATCTCAAAAATAAATAAATAAATAAACAAAATGGTAGTATACAATGTTTTCTTCACCTAGCTTATAAATCTGGGTAACTTTAGGATGAGTACCAAATCACCCCAATTGTTAATCTGGTTTATTACAGATCTCAAGTTAATTTTAGAATGTCAGCATCTATTTGTTAACTGAGTTGAAATATGGCTACTAAGCTAATGATATGGATGAAACTATAACATTAGGACTGTCTAGATAGGAAGAAAGCATTTTACAAATCTGAAGATATTTTTAAAAATTAAGATATTTTCCTTTTTCCTGAATTTATTAAGCATGTACTTTATATTATCCACAAAACTCTAGGAATTAGCCATTATTAATACCCCCATTTTATAGAGCAATGATTACAACCCAGATTTTTTCTAATTCCAAAACCATGCACTTAAGGACTTAAACTACTTTTGCCCTATTTGAAAAATACTTTGGTCACTATAATGTACATTTTGGCATTTTAAAAAACGGCTTCTCAGAAAATGAACCCCTTTCCGTGCTTTAGGTTCACCACTGAACAGGGCAGTCTTCATGCAAGACAGAATTTCACCTATCACTGCCAATACTTTTGTTCCTAGCCCCTGGCAGCTAGAATAAAGACTCATGTGCTAAACTCAACAAATCTGGTGTCCTATCTAGGATTTTGAGTCTGGCATGAATATTCAAAGGAGAAACAGTTTATAATTTGGTTTCAGCTTTGGCAACGGCCAGTAGCTAGTTTCCAGTGATGATGTTGGCAACAAAATCAAGAAGCCAAGAATCTAGAGGTGGTGTCATCAGTAGTACCGGTTATAAGAAGACCATCCCATGCTGTGATTTGGATGTCTGTCTTGAGCCTAGATCTATGCCTAGTTAGTTCTCCAACGTTTTCATCAATTCTATGATTTACCTGATGTCCATCTAGTACATAGGTTTTCAGCTTTAAATAACTGTAATTAGTATCTGTATCTTATACACTTACAGGTTGCCAGAACTAAAGGATAATCATCTACTTACCCTTGCACCATATTATTTCTCTATGACTTCTTTTTACTGGCAGTGATTATAGCATTATCAATTATTTTCCAAAATCCATTCTTCCCTTTTTCCATGAATTGCAAAACCCCTGATTTTAATTAGGCCACTCAATCAAAGATTATATTTCCCAAATTTCCTGGCAGCTAGGTTAGCTCATACAACTAATGGGATGTGAGTGAAATGATGGGTGGAATTTCTCTGTCACGATATTGATGGAAAAAAAGCATTGTCTCCACTTCACCTACTCCCCTTACTGTTGGCTAGAAGGCAGACATGACAGTGGGAGCTGAGGCAGCTATTTTAGACCATTAAGATGGAAGCCACAGGTTGAGAACAGCAGAACAACAATGCGGGAATTTGGGTCCTGGATGAAGGGTAGCCTTCAGCTCTGTCTGCTTACCCTTGGACTATTTCTTGTAAAATAAATGAACTTCTGTCTTTTGAAAGCCAATGTTACATTGGGATTCACTGCAGAGCAATCCTGCATTCTAACATGGCTATCAGCGTTTTGGACTACGTCACACAACAGCTTACCAGGCGTCCTTACTGTTGAATTCTCTTGAAGCTTTCTTATGAGAAAAGAAGCATTGCTTCATGTGACTCCCACCTTGAGCTTTTTGAAATTCAGTCATTTTTTCAGCCAAATATAATAGCTACACAGTGGTAACAGAAGTGAGAAAAAACTACAGGGGGATTGCTTGGCCATTTGGGCCACAATGGCAGAAATGGAAGCCCCAGTGTTGCATGAAGAGACACAGCAAATTCAAACGAGCATGAAAAGGTCAGGCCTTAGTTTTATATGCTACTTGAAAAGTGATATGAGGCAGTACTTAAATAATATGATTTTTTTTTAATAATAAGTGATTTAGCAGTACTTAAATAATATGATCATGCTGGTTTTCATTCTGAAATTCATGCCACCCTAACTAAATAGAAGAATAAATGAAAGAACACAACTGTGTTGTGACTTACGACACACTTTTATAATCGACAAAAGTGCAGTTGAGGTTATTTTTTTATTAATCTCACTGAACAAATGTTCCAAAACTAGACCTCTTTTTCCAATTAAACATAATCTCTATTTCATAAATTAAAGTTAACAAAGTCAAATGCAATTTAGTTATGAAAATCTGTCTTTCTTTTCTCAGCTCACAGTTGACCAATCCCATGTGCATAAGATAAAAGGACAGGGAAACAAGTGGCTTTGCTAAACATTTTGGTATGCAGAGAAACCATTACGCCATTGATGCTGTGGGACTGCAATCACATTCACATAGAATGAAACATGCTGCCTGCAATAAATTACTGGGTATGTTGGAGCCTTCGTTTAACCCAAAGTGCTTCATAATGCGTGTTTTCTGTGCTAAAATCTCTGCTTTCTTTGGAGTAAAAAGAAAAACCTGAAATCTTTCCCCATCTGTGGCTCATGATCTATAGCTAAGGAAAAAAAAATCCTATTTCTGCATTGTTGCAAGAATGTAAAACTTTACTGTTCCCAGGAAGTGGGAATGAGTCAGTAATTATAAGCACTAAAATTACTATCACTGTTAATTTTCTTTACCTACCCAAAATACTAGAGAACGTTAAGTACAGTGGAAATTGTTTTTTTAAAAAATACATACATATGACGTATCATAGAGTCATCTTCTTGAACCATATCAATTTCCTCTCATATGTATTAGAAAGCCAAGAGATCTGATAACTTCTTCCCTCTGTTCTGATACTCATCGAGCCAAGTACTTCTTAATAGTGTGATGATTACCAGCTAAGAGCTCAGCTGCCAAAGATGATTGCTTTAAAGCCCTTGTAACATCAGCCTAAGGCGGCCTAAGAGATGAGCAAGGAGAACTAATCACAGACCTTTGAACACGACTAAGCAAACCACAGCCAAATGGATAATGTTTCACAAAGAACTTGTGATCTTCGGATGCTGGGGTTTTTTCTACCACATACATTCCATAATGGTTATAAATTCCATTAGCACTAAATACCCACTGAGCTCTAAGCCAAGAAGAGAAATGAAATTCTGTCTATACAATATCAAGACAGCCAATTGATTCAATTTGTTTAAACAACTATTTACAGAGTACTTTCTATATGCCAGACATTCATGTAGGTGATAAGGATATAGCAGTAAATAAGAGAGTTCCTTAAGTCTGCAAACTTACAGTCTAGTGGTGACTACAACCCCTAAGATTGTGTAAAAAGCACAGTGGTTAGCAGACAGGTAGGTAGTAAAAGTCTGAAAGTCTGAGTTGAAATTCTAACACCATCATGTAATTTCATGTTACTTAAATTCCAACTTCCTCAATTTCTTCATCTGTAAAATAGAAATGATAATTGTACTTGACTGACAGGTCTGTTGTGAAGATTAAGTGAGAAGATATATTTAAATCACCTAGAATGACCCCTGGTGTAGAGTTAATACTCAATAACTGTGGGTTATTTTTTTAATTGCATAGAGTTTTTGAACAGACAAAAGTGAGAAATTTTGCCATACATGAATGTTATAGGAACAATCCCAGGGAGAAAATGCCAGGCAAAGGAGGGAGGTTCCTGGCAGAGGAAATAGTAATAAAAGATATGGGAATATGAAACCACACAGTGAGCACCCCCTTAGTATTGCCAAAATGTAAATTCAGAGGATGTTCCTCAAAGCCTCAATCCAACTATTTGCTGGTTATGTATATTAAAATCTGGATGAAAGATATTTTCATGATATTTCAAGATAGTTACCTAGATTTTTTGACATCACAGAGAGAGCAGGACCAGGAACAAATCCAGATCATGCAGGACCCATACCCAATGAGAATCCAGAGAAGCAATTTGTGCAAGTAAGTTGCATGATCTGATTTGTCTTCTTAAAAGATCATACTTCCTTTATGAGGACAATATAGGAAGGGGGAAAAAGAACTTAAATTCAAGGTAGAGGATACAGAACTAGAAAACAGAAGACAGATTCAAAATATATTTTAGATGCAAAGTCCTTAAGACTTGATGTTTGTGTGGAGTAAGGGAGGAGATATTGAAAATTAATCCAAAGTTTTATATTTGAGAAATTGATTTAAGCAAAAAACCTGAAGGAAGAATAGATTTCAAGGGGAAGATCATACATTTGGTTTTGAACAATTTAATCTGAGATGCCTATATGGCATTCAAATAGATATGCAAAGTGAGTACTTCAACATTTATGAGAAGTTCTCAGGAGAGAAGTCTGGGATAGAGTCTTAAAAATACACATGATATGTATGGTCCTTGGGGCGGAATGCAATTTCCCAGGGAGGCAAGAGAAGAGGGTCCTAGGATGTGGCCATAAGAAGCATCAGCACCTAAAGATTAGAAAGGAGAAATCACTTTTGGAAAATGAAGAAAAGTAGCCAAAGCGATAGAAAAATCAGAAAATGTTAATTTCATGGAAGGCAAGGAAGAAGCATGTTTATCAAGAAGGAAGAGCTGATAAAACATACGAAGAGCATTCAAGTAAGGTGGGAACTGAATATTGTCCTTTGAAGTCTTTAGGTTCTTGGTGGTCTTGACAAGAGCCAATCAGGGAAGTGGTATGGGTGGAAGCAAATTGTGCTGAAATGAAGAGTCAATGGGAGCAGAGGAAGCCTGGCTTCCTCTAGAGTATGTTCAAATGCTTGAGGTTCGTGAGTGGGTGGCAAATGATGGAATCCTGAGCATAGCCTTCTCAACTTTCAAGACAGAGCTCAAATATTCCTGCTTCTGAGAAATCTTTCCAAATAATCAAAACTAAGATAAGGCAATATGCCCATAAAAAACTATACAGACCTCTATTAAACTACTAATCACACTGCAATTGTTCATTTACTTGGTGTTTCACTCATTAAAACAGAATCCACTGAAGTGTAGGGATTACTTATCTAGTACAACTGAATAAAATCAGTTCTATTTATTAAATGCAAAAGTCCAATTCTATTTTTTTCAAACAGTGTTGGCTTTTTTTTCCTTTTAGAGATGGGGGTCTTGTTCTGTCCCCGAGGCTGGAGTGCAGTGGTGCCATCATGGCTCACTGCCGCCTCTATTTCCTGGGCTCGAACAAGCCTCTCACCTCAGCCTCCCAAGTAGCTGGGACTGTAGAGTGGCTGGGACTATAGGCATGTACCACCACACCCAGCTAATTCTTTTATTTATTTATTTATTTATTCATTATTTATTTTTTTATTTTGCAGAGATGGGGTCTCACTATGTTGCTCAGGCTGGTCTTCAACCTCTGGGCTCAAGCAGCAGTCCTCCCTGCTTTGGGCTCCCAAAGTGCTGGGATTATAGGAATGAGCCATCATGCCCAACCCTAACTACGGGTTTTTTAAAAGGCCAACATAAAAAGAATTCCAACAAACACTTGAACTTAACTTATTAAGATGTGTTAGAACAGATAAGGCTACATAGATTTCTTCTATGAATGATTTTGTCTCAAACTTTCCTATAAGGAACTATTTTATGTATATTTTTATCCTCTGCTGAGTCTAGCAAGGAACTGAACGTAACCTAGGAGGTTCAATAAATATTTGTTAGTTGATCTTTATCTGCATGAAATTTGTATATACAAAGAACAAAGATTGCCTCTGAATATTGTGTTAAAATAGTAATATGTGTTTTGTGTTAGCTGAGCATTTTGTGTCACCCATCACTTTGACAAAGACTGTTCACACAAAACAGCAGGTAAGTGAATCATGGCGAGTGAGACCATCCACTTGCCACATAAAATACATCTATTGCTCTCTCTGCAATATGCAATCTTCTTTAGCTGTCAAGTAATTAAATTGCCAAGCTTAAGTTCTAATTGTTTAAATTTGTTGGTGCTAGAAACTGATAATAAAGTGCATTTCAGGGACACTACTCATGAGCAGAGCAGTGGTGTAGCAGCCCAGAACCAGAACCCTTTCTAGCTAAAAGCATTTACAAGGCAACCCATCTATTGTGCTCTATGATGAAGCTGTACAGGGCATTTTCCTTCTTTGCAAAGCACAGTCATTTTATTTTGTTGCTGCTACTCCTACTGCATTAAGCACAGATATACTAAGAGAGCCAAAAAGTCAAAAAAAAACAGCAAGAACTCCAACGTACTGACATTCAATCTTTCTTGACTGAAGAAACCTAGCAAAGGATGATTCTATTTCTTTTCCCAGTACATCAGACAAATGTCACTAAATGTACATATCTGTGGCATACGTCACTGATTTATCGATATCTGTGTTTTCAGATTTAAAATAATAGTTTGTGGAAGAAAAAAACATTTGGTAGGGGACATTTCAAACTATGAGCTCAGACAATACTTGGTTGAAAACATAGGCCCTATCATTAGGAGAGTAATACTTTTAGGTCTGGAACAGAGGAAACCTCTCAGTTATTCTGGAACAGCTGGGGACACAAAGGAACTTGAAACTGGACATTCATTTCAAGCTATTAAATGATATCTTGTACTACAGTAGGGCATTTAGAATCTGAGTGACTTCTGCAAAAGGTAGCTACCATGAGCATATTTGTCTAGCTTTCTTCCCAAATTCCTACTGAAGTGACCAATGGAATATTCAAATGGAAAACACTGCCTCAGCATCAGACACTAGAAGGGGGCTCCAGCTCTCCATACCAGAAAGTGGTAAGGATGGAAAAGTCCTGTGGGGATCAAAACATTAGGCAATAAGTAAAAGGATACTTCAACCAACCCTTATTCACTACAGGGACATCCAGAACCAGAGGCAGGAAACATGATCATGAGTAGATTCCTGCTCTCCTGTCTTTCCAGACTGATAGCACCAGACCTGGCAGCCAACACTGGAAGGCTTCATGGTTTTCTTCTAGCACAGACAGAACCAATGCAGGCAAGAAGTGGGAATATGGGAGAAAATTAATACACAATGTAGTGCAGTGACATATCTCCCGGCCACGATGACCTGCACCTGCTCCCTCCCTGATCCTCTTATATTGGTGACATACTGTGAGATTTTTGTTGATTTGGTTGTTTGCTCTTCTGTACTTCCCTCTGTCTAGACTTGAAGGACCTCTGTGGAACATTCAGGGAGAACAAGAAGCATACCAGTTTCTAACAGAACCCACTCAACTCCTACAAAGGTTGGCAAGCATAGGCAACCTTCTGGAAGAAAAAGAACACTGAAAAATCATGATACACTTAAAAATTGGGGGAGTATAAATAAAGGGAAGCACTTAGAAAAATTACACTTATCCTGTGACTCAACAGGAACTTTTTGAGTAACTACCATGTGTCAGGCACTGTGTTAGGTTAAAAAGAGAAAATAAAGCAACCCTGACTTCTTCCTTCTTTTGATTTGCTACCAGAATCAAATAATCTTTAAAAATAACCAATCCATGTGTCAGAAAGATTCCAGGGAACACTGAGTTGATTTATATTTGAGAAATATAAATAAATAAGTAAGAGGGGCAAATCTAAGATTAAGAATTAGTTGAAAATAAAAACCAAATTAAAGCCACAATAGAAGCAATTAAAAATACAGAAAATGAAATCAGTAAACTAAAAAATAAATTTGAGAAAGACACCCAGAACTCTCATGAAAGCCCTAAATAATTTAAACTATGAACAGAAAAGAAGAGAGACAGAGATAGATCCTGGTACTTCAACCTCTGATTAATAGGAAATTCCAGAAAGAAAAAATATCAATATTCAAAGCAATAAAGGAAAAATTTGCCGATTAAGAAAGGTCTGACTGTTTTGTGGCAATTGACAAGCTATTTCTAATATTTATATGACTAGTCCAAGGACTTAAAAAGCTCAAAGAGAAAAATAATAAATTTGGAGTATTAATACTATCTAAGTACAAGATTTTCTATAAAGCTACAATATCAAGACAGCATGCTATTGGTGTAAGAATAGAAAAATAATGCATTGGGACAGAATGAAAGTCCAGAATGGACTCACCCTTATATGTTTAAAAGACTTCTGACAAAGGCAAAAATCAATTCAATGGAAGAAATAAAAGCATTTTCAACAAATAGAGCTGAAATAACGGCATATTCATAGGAAAAAAAACAATGAATCTTGGTCATTATGTTCAAGATTATCATTTGTATTATTATATAAAAATAATAATTTAAAATAGATAATAGGCCTGAACTTTTCAGCTAAAATTATAAAGCTTCCACAAGAAAACATAGAAGAATATTTCCACAACATCAAGGCAAACAAATATTTTTTTACAAAGCATTAATCATGAAATTAAAAATTGGAAAATTGGTCTTTACCAAAACTTAAAACTACTGTTCATCAAAAGATCTCATTTAAGTAAATGAATAAATAAGCCACAGACTAGGAAAAAATATGCACAATACTTCATATAATGAAGTATATATATCTAGAACATATTAGAGACTCCTACAATTCAATAAGACCCAAATAATACAATAAAAATGATCAAAAGACTTAAATAGACACCTCACAAATAGGGTATAAAAATGACAATAAGAAAGAGAATTTTGTTCAGTACCATTAGATGTTAGGGAAATGCAAAATAAGTCAAATGGGTACATGCTACATATGAGAATGTCTAAAATAGAAAATCCTGACAACACCAAAGGCTACTGATGATGTGGAGCAACTAGCACACTCGTATATTGCTGGTAAGGTTATAAAATGGTATAACTCTTTTGGAAAGTAGTTTGACTGTTTCTTACAATGTTAAAAATATGTCTACTCCATTGCCCAAGTATTTTTCCAGGAGAAATAAAAATGTATATCCAATGTCCACAAAAAGACTTGCATAAGAATGTTCATATCAGTTTGTTTCATAGTAGCCATGATATGGTTTGGCTGTGTCACCACCCAAATCTCATCTTGAATTCCCATGTGTTGTGGGAGGGACCCAGTGGGAGGTAATTGAATCATGGGGGCAGGTCTTTCCCGTGCTGTTCTCATGATAGTGAATAAGTCTTATGAGATCTGATGATTATATAACAAGGAGTTTCCCTGCACAACCTCTCTTCTCTTGTCTGCTGCCATGTGAGACATGCCTTTCACCATCCACCATGATTGTGAGGCCTCCCCAGCCACATGGAACTGTAAGTCCATTAAACCTCTTTCTTTTGTAAATTGCCCAGTATCAGATATGTCTTTATCAGCAGCATGAAAGCAGACTAATACACATATCACCCTGGTTAAAATGGCTTTTATCAAAAAGACAAGCAATAACAAATGCTGACAAGGATGTGGAGAAAGGGGAACCCTTGTATATGGTTGGTAGGAATGTCAATTAGTACAACCAGTATGGAGAACAGTTTGGAGGTTTCTCAAAAAACTAAAAACAGAACTACGATACGATCCAGTAATTCCACTGCTTAGTATACACCCCAAAGAAAGAAAATCGGTATATTGAAGAGATATCTGCACTCCCACGTTTATTGCAGCACTGTTCACAATAGTCAAGATTTAGAAGCAACCTAAGTGTTCATCAACAAATGAATGGACAAAGAAAATGTCAATTGTGTTTCTAACTGTAACTACCCTGGACATTTTGTTATTCACAGAAAATTGTTGTCTTGTTTTAATTCTCTTCAAAAGATGGTTTATAATAAGCTATGGAACTATAACAGGTACTCTAAAATACAGGCTTCTGATAACTTTGGAGATTGTAATATTAGAATAAAGGAAAATGTACAAGATTCATGAAGAGTTGAAATGTTTACAAATATCAAGCAAAACCAGAGTTAACCAAATGGACTGAACTCAGAAAGCTGAAGCAACCTTTTGACTTTTGCTTAGAATATTGCTTATTCTTGTTTTCAGAGTCAATGAAACTTATTTTGAACTATTTGCGGACTTTAATAATTAAGTAGGGTATACTCTTGGGATCAAAATTTGGAGCATGTTTGTTTCTCTCTTCCTAGTTCCTCTAGAATTTGGAAACTATCTGTGAGTATTCTTTCTTTTTTTTCTTTCTTTTTTTTTTTTTTTGAGACAGAGTCTTGCTCTGTCGGCCAGGCTGGAGTGCAATGGCACCATCTTGGTGGCTCACTGCAAGCTCCGCCTCCTGGGTTCACACCATTCTCCTGCCTCAGCCTCCCGAGTAGCTGGGACTACAGGCGCCCGCCACCACGCCCAGCTAATTTTTTGTATTTTTAGTAGAGACGGGGTTTCACCACATTAGCCAGGATGGTCTTGATCTCCTGACCTCGTGATCCACCCACGTAGGCTTCCCAAAGTGCTGGGATTACAGATGTGAGCCACCGCGCCTGGCCAAGAATTCTTAACTTATGGTGATACAGTTGTTTGCATCAGTTCAATAAGAATCCATTTTTTCTTTTGCAACAGGATGCAACTGGAAAAACTGGGTATTTTACCAAGGCTTTGACTGGAAGGGTATGCTTCCCTTTAAGGAGTCAAGCTCAACTTGCAGAGCCGATACAAGCCCAGTGGGGAAACTGGCCTCATTCCCTTGTCTATGCAGTCCCTGTATGAGGTTTCTGACCTGTGGTCAGTAAAGAATGTCACTTTCTAACAGATTCACGAGCTCCAAGTTTATATTGGGACCTTAAGAGGAAAGAATCCCCCAACTCACAGGCATTTGAGGATGCAAACCCATGGCTGGGCTGGGCTTTAAAAGGTCTTATCTGTGATCCCTTGTGGAACACACGCCCATCAAAGCCAATCCAAAAGGTCTATGTAGAAATAATTATTTCTGCTGCATTTTATGCAAATAATCAGGCCAAATATAAGACTAAAGTCTATTTTGCAAACCACTCAGTCCTATGATAATTTGTTTTTTAACAAACATGAGGACTGGAGAGAGATAAATCATATTCCAAAGCTTATCATATATTTGTCATTAAGTTCCAAACTCACCAGTTTTTTTTTAAGTTTTTGCCTACATTTTAGACTAACTCGGCTTGTTCCTGTAAACCAACCAGCAATCCCTGGCTGCAGCTCAGAAAGAACAAGAGGGATGGGTAATATAAAATTCTGGATCAATATTCTGGTTCTGAGCAATTATCCTGCAAATCCTGCCAGGTGATGAGAATAAATAAAATGCTCATGACTTGGAAGTTTCCTTTTGAGAAAGTAAGACTAAAGGGGTTAACCAAAGCCAAGCACCATGCACCCAAATCCTAGCAAGCATAACTACCAGTTATCCTGGTGTGTCACAAGACATTCTTTTCTCTCCCTTGTTGGAGGAGTTAATTCCACAGCTTCACCTTAGCCTTTGGCTTATTATAAGGAGTCCATGCTTAACTGCGATGTGCCTTTTAACCTCTGTTGCCATCTGCCTCTGAATTCCTGATTGGGTTTTCTTTCCTAGGGCTTTGACCCAAAGCTTGGAATTGAGTTTGGGACAAAAATGTGTCTCAAGGGGGTTCCAAGTCCAATTTCTTCTTTCATAAAACTAAGGCAATACACCTTTCAGGAAGGCATTGTGAAAATTAAATGTGATATCTGAATATCATGCTTCAAATATGGTAGTTAATGAGAAAATTTAAATTAAAAATGTTTTGAGAAATTAACTTTCCCTGAGTCATTTGCTTTATAACTAAAAAGTTTTTATGTGAATCAGGAAGTATATTAAGGAATTTCACATAAATTAAATGATTTAATTACTCAAAAAAGAATAAATTTCTACAGGTAACACTTCAGTTTGTGTGTCCAGAAACTTGGGCCACTTTATGACATTCCTGTGTCCCTTGATAACTAAGATATCAAGAACCTACAAACAAGAATTTAGGTTTCAGTTCCTTGAAAACTTGTATTTTTTGTAAAACCATATCACATGGAATTTGGTCATTGATGGTTGTCCAGAAAGTGTCATTTCTAAGTATGAAAGTGAATGGAAAAGAATAAGTAGGTAGAATTCAGCTGCTTCTAAGAAAAAAAAGACCTGGAGGTTTTCTTTACTTTTGACCTCTGCCTCCATTATAACTTCCATACCAATCTTTAGCAGAATGATACAGCCTAGGTATAATCTAGTGAGCGGTTTTATTTCAAGTGTTTTGTTCACACACCTCAAGAGAGGAGACTGTAAAGAAAAATATTACAGTTAGAAATAAAGTGGATTGGCCAAAGGACCTCGAAATCCCACAATATCCCCCACACTAACTAGACTTCAAGAAGCGCCTTTATCTGGACTTACACTCTCACTTTAGTATTGAAAGACAGTATTTAGAAAAAAAAATCAACATTAAATTGCCTGTTGCCTCAATTCCCAAAAGTTATTTAAATAAGGCTCAATGAGTCTGCATGGGGCAAAGCATTAAAAAACATTAATTTACCTCCCTTTGATGATACTAACATCTCTCTTCACTTGTATGCTTTTCAAAACAGATTTGAGCTCATGCCACTTCCAGAATGTGTGACCCATTGAAAATCTCTCTTTATTGCTGGTCTCAATTTGCACCTACGTAAAAGGGGAATGATAATACCTGTACTACTTATCTCACTGTGTTATTTGGGAGGATCATAAAGGATACTGTGGATGAGAGCACTTGACAGTGTGTAACATACTATGGTAAATTGCAAAAATGACCACAGTTTTCTCCTTCCCTGTACCCATGCTTCTTTCCAATTTGAATTTTCAGCTTCTCTTGTCAAGACATACATTTCTTCACTCCTAGAATCTGGGCTGATCTTGTGGCTTCCTCTGACCAACAAAACATGTCAGACATAATGCTGTGACAGTTCTGACCTAGGCCTCAAGAGACCCTTGCATGAGTCTACCCCTCTTGGAAACCATGAGGCAGTTCATGGAGCAGGAAGGAGCTGTCCCCAGCTGAAGCCATCCTGGGCCAGCTGGCTCACAGTCAATGGGGCAACAGCTCACAGTCCCACCAGCCAGCCCTGCTGGGAAGAGCTGAGCCTAGCCCACCTGCAGAGCCTCCCAGGCAACTCTCAGATCCATGGGCTGAATAAATGGTTATAGTCTTAGGTGAACACATTTTGGGATGATATTTTTAAAGAGCGAAAGATAACTGATATACATGTCACAGATATTAAAATGTCAGGACAGTATTTTCATTTCATTATCTTTCAGAAGAAAGAGGTCTACTTGAAAAATCATGGAGAAGCGGGGGAGGAGCCAAGATGGCCGAATAGGAACAGCTCCAGTCTATAGCTCCCAGCGTGAGCGACGCAGAAGACGGGTGATTTCTGCATTTCCATCTGAGGTACCGGGTTTCTCTCACTAGGGAGTGCCAGACAGTGGGCGCAGGCCAGTGGGTGCGCGCACCGTGCGCGAGCCGAAGCAGGGCAAGGCATTGCCTCACCTGGGAAGCGCGAGGGGTCAGGGAGTTCCCTTTCTGAGTCAAAGAAAGGGGTGACGGACGCACCTGGAAAATCGGGTCACTCCCACCCGAATATTGCGCTTTTCAGACCGGCTTAAAAAGCGGCGAACCATGAGATTATATCCCACACCTGGCTCGGAGGGTCCTACGCCCACAGAGTCTAGCTGATTTCTAGTACAGCAGTCTGAGATCAAACTGCAAGGCGGCAGCGAGGCTGGGGGAGGGGCGCCCGCCATTGCCCAGGCTTGCTTAGGTAAACAAAGCAGCCAGGAAGCTCGAACTGGGTGGAGCCCACCACAGCTCAAGGAGGCCTGCCTGCCTCTGTAGGCTCCACCTCTGGGGGCAGGGCACAGACAAACAAAAAGACAGCAGTAACCTCTGCAGACTTAAGTGTCCCTGTCTGACAGCTTTAAAGAGAGCAGTGGTTCTCCCAGCACACAGCTGGAGATCTGAGAACGGGCAGACTGCCTCCTCAAGTGGGTCCCTGACCCCTGACCCCCGACCCCCGAGCAGCCTAACTGGGAGGCACCCCCCAGCAGGGGCAGACTGACACCTCACGCGGCAGGGTATTCCAACAGACCTGCAGCTGAGGGTCCTGTCTGTTAGAAGGAAAACTAACAAACAGAAAGGACATCCACACCGAAAACCCATCTGTACATCACCACCATCAAAGACCAAAAGTAGATAAAACCACAAAGATGGGGAAAAAACAGAACAGAAAAACTGGAAACTCTAAAATGCAGAGTGCCTCTCCTCCTCCAAAGGAACGCAGTTCCTCACCAGCAACGGAACAAAGCTGGATGGAGAATGACTTTGACGAGCTGAGAGAAGAAGGCTTCAGACGATCAAATTACTCTGAGCTACGGGAGGACATTCAAACCAAAGGCAAAGAAGTTGAAAACTTTGAAAAAAATTTAGAAGAATGTATAACTAGAATAACCAATACAGAGAAGTGCTTAAAGGAGCTGATGGAGCTGAAAACCAAGGCTCGAGAACTACGTGAAGAATGCAGAAGCCTCAGGAGCTGATGCGATCAACTGGAAGAAAGGGTATCAGCAATGGAAGATGAAATGAATGAAATGAAGCGAGAAGGGAAGGTTAGAGAAAAAAGAATAAAAAGAAATGAGCAAAGCCTCCAAGAAATATGGGACTATGTGAAAAGACCAAATCTACGTCTGATTGGTGTACCTGAAAGTGATAGGGAGAATGGAACCAAGTTGGAAAACACTCTGCAGGATGTTATCCAGGAGAACTTCCCCAATCTAGCAAGGTAGGCCAACGTTCAGATTCAGGAAATACAGAGAACGCCACAAAGATACTCCTCAAGAAGAGCAACTCCAAGACACATAATTGTCAGATTCACCAAAGTTGAAATGAAGGAAAAAATGTTAAGGGCAGCCAGAGAGAAAGGTCGGGTTACCCTCAAAGGGAAGCCCATCAGACTAACAGCGGATCTCTCGGCAGAAACCCTACAAGCCAGAAGAGAGTGGGGGTCAATATTCAACATTCTTAAAGAAAAGAATTTTCAACCCAGAATTTCATATCCAGCCAAACTAAGCTTCATAAGTGAAGGAGAAATAAAATACTTCACAGACAAGCAAATGCTGAGAGATTTTGTCACCACTAGGCCTGCCCTAAAAGAGCTCCTGAAGGAAGCGCTAAACATGGAAAGGAACAACCGGTACCAGCCGCTGCAAAATCATGCCAAAATGTAAAGACCATCGAGACTAGGAAGAAACTGCATCAACTAACGAGCAAAATCACCAGCTAACATCATAATGACAGGATCAAATTCACACATAACAATATTAACTTTAAATGTAAATGGACTAAATTCTCCAATTAAAAGACACAGACTGGCAAATTGGATAAAGAGTCAAGACCCATCAGTGTGCTGTATTCAGGAAACCCATCTCACGTGCAGAGACACACATAGGCTCAAAATAAAAGGATGGAGGAAGATCTACCAAGCAAATGGAAAACAAAAAAAGGCAGGGGTTGCAATCCTAGTCTCTGATAAAACAGACTTTAAACCAACAAAGATCAAAAGAGACAAAGAAGGCCATTACATAATGGTAAAGGGATCAATTCAACAAGAAGAGCTAACTATCCTAAATATATATGCACCCAATACAGGAGCACCCAGATTTATAAAGCAAGTCCTGAGTGACCTACAAAGAGACTTAGACTCCCACACATTAATAATGGGAGACTTTAACACCCCACTGTCAACATTAGACAGATCAACGAGACAGAAAGTCAACAAGGATACCCAGGAATTGAACTCAGCTCTGCACCAAGTGGACCTAATAGACAACTACAGAACTCTCCACCCCAAATCAACAGAATATACATTTTTTTCAGCACCACACCACACCTATTCCAAAATTGACCACATAGTTGGAAGTAAAGCTCTCCTCAGCAAATGTAAAAGAACAGAAATTATAACAAACTATCTCTCAGACCACAGTGCAATCAAACTAGAACTCAGGATTAAGAATCTCACTCAAAGCTGCTCAACTACATGGAAACTGAACAACCTGCTCCTGAATGACTACTGGGTACGTAACGAAATGAAGGCAGAAATAAAGATGTTCTTTGAAACCAACGAGAACAAAGACACAACATACCAGAATCTCTGGGACGCATTCAAAGCAGTGTGTAGAGGGAAATTTATAGCACTAAATGCCCACAAAAGAAAGCAGGAAAGATCCAAAATTGACACCCTAACATCACAATTAAAAGAACTAGAAAAGCAAGAGCAAACACATTCAAAAGCTAGCAGAAGGCAAGAAATAACTAAAATCAGAGCAGAACTGAAGGAAATAGAGACACAAAAAACCCTTCAAAAAATCAATGAATCCAGGATCTGGTTTTTTGAAAGGATCAACAAAATTGATAGACCACTAGCAAGACTAATAAAGAAAAAAAGAGAGAAGAATCAAATAGACACAATAAAAAATGATAAAGGGGATATCACCACCGATCCCACAGAAATACAAACCACCATCAGAGAATACTACAAACACCTCTACGCAAATAAACTAGAAAATCTAGAAGAAATGGATAAATTCCTCAACACATACACTCTCCCAAGACTAAACCAGGAAGAAGTTGAATCTCTGAATAGACCAATAACAGGAGCTGAAATTGTGGCAATAATCGATAGTTTACCAACCAAAAAGAGTCCAGGACCAGATGGATTCACAGCTGAATTCTACCAGAGGTACAAGGAGGAACTGGTACCATTCCTTCTGAAACTATTCCAATCAATAGAAAAAGAGGGAATCCTCCCTAACTCATTTTATGAGGCCAGCATCATTCTGATACCAAAGCCGGGCAGAGACACAACCAAAAAAGAGAATTTTAGACCAATATCCTTGATGAACATTGATGCAAAAATCCTCAATAAAATACTGGCAAAACGAATCCAGCAGCACATCAAAAAGCTTATCCACCATGATCAAGTGGGCTTCATCCCTGGGATGCAAGGCTGGTTCAATATACGCAAATCAATAAATGTAATCCAGCATATAAACAGAGCCAAAGACAAAAACCACATGATTATCTCACTAGATGCAGAAAAAACCTTTGACAAAATTCAACAACCCTTCATGCTAAAAACTCTCAATAAATTAGGTATTGATGGGACGTATTTCAAAATAATAAGAGCTATCTATGACAAACCCACAGCCAATATCATACTGAATGGGCAAAAACTGGAAGCATTCCCTTTGAAAACTGGCACAAGACAGGGATGCCCTCTCTCACCACTCCTATTCAACATAGTGTTGGAAGTTCTGGCCAGGGCAATTAGGCAGGAGAAGGAAATAAAGGGTATTCAATTAGGAAAAGAGGAAGTCAAATTGTCCCTGTTTGCAGATGACATGATTGTATATCTAGAAAACCCCATTGTTTCAGCCCAAAATCTCCTTAAGCTGATAAGCAACTTCAGCAAAGTCTCAGGATACAAAATCAATGTACAAAAATCACAAGCATTCTTATACACAAACAACAGACAAACAGAGAGCCAAATCATGAGTGAACTCCCATTCACAATTGCTTCAAAGAGAATAAAATACCTAGGAATCCAACTTACAAGGGATGTGAAGGACCTCTTCAAGGAGAACTACAAACCACTGCTCAAGGAAATAAAAGAGGATACAAACAAATGGAAGAACATTCCATGCTCATGGGTAGGAAGAATCAATATCATGAAAATGGCCATACTGCCCAAGGTAATTTACAGATTCAATGCCATTCCCATAAAGCTACCAATGACTTTCCTCACAGAATTGGAAAAAACTACTTTAAAGTTCATATGGAACCAAAAAAGAGCCCGCATCGCCAAGTCAATCCTAAGCCAAAAGAACAAAGCTGGAGGCATCACACTACCTGACTTCAAACTTAACTACAAGGCTACAGTAACCAAAACAGCATGGTACTGGTACCAAAACAGAGATATAGATCAATGGAACAGAACAGAGCCCTCAGAAATAACGCCGCATATCTACAACTATCTGATCTTTGACAAACCTGAGAAAAACAAGCAATGGGGAAAGGATTCCCTATTTAATAAATGGTGCTGGGAAAACTGGCTAGCCATATGTAGAAAGCTGAAATTGGATCCCTTCCTTACACCTTATACAAAAATCAATTCAAGATGGATTAAAGACTTAAACGTTAGACCTAAAACCATAAAAACCCTAGAAGAAAACCTAGGCATTACCATTCAGGACATAGGCATGGGCAAGGACTTCATGTCGAAAACACCAAAAGCAATGGCAACAAAAGCCAAAATTGACAAATGGGATCTAATTAAACTAAAGAGCTTCTGCACAGCAAAAGAAACTACCATCAGAGTGAACAGGCAACCTACAAAATGGGAGAAAATTTTTGCAACCTACTCATCTGACAAAGGGCTAATATCCAGAATCTACAATGAACTCAAACAAATTTACAAGAAAAAAACAAACAACCCCATCAAAAAGTGGGCGAAGGACATGAACAGACACTTCTCAAAAGAAGACATTTATGCAGCCAAAAAACACATGAAAAAATGCTCATCATCACTGGCCATCAGAGAAATGCAAATCAAAACCACAATGAGATACCATCTCACACCAGTTAGAATGGCAATCACTAAAAAGTCAGGAAACAGCAGATACTGGAGAGGATGTGGAGAAATAGGAACACTTTTACACTGTTGGTGGGACTGTAAACGAGTTCAACCATTGTGGAAGTCAGTGTGGCGATTCCTCAGGGATCTAGAACTAGAAATACCATTTGACCCAGCCATCCCATTACTGGGTATATACCCAAATGACTATAAATCATGCTGCTATAAAGACACATGCACACGTATGTTTATTGCGGCATTATTCACAATAGCAAAGACTTGGAACCAACCCAAATGTCCAACAAAGATAGACTGGATTAAGAAAATGTGGCACATATACACCATGGAATACTATGCAGCCATAAAAAATGATGAGTTCGTGTCCTTTGTAGGGACATGGATGAAATTGGAAATCATCATTCTCAGTAAACTATCGCAAGAACAAAAAACCAAACACCCCATATTCTCACTCATAGGTGGGAATTGAACAATGAGATCACATGGACACAGGAAGGGGAATATCACACTCTGGGGACTGTGGTGGGGTGGGGGGAGGGGGGAGGGATAGCATTGGGAGATATACCTAATGCTAGATGACGAGTTAGTGGGTGCAGCGCACCAGCATGGCACATGTATACATACATATGTAACTAACCTGCACATTGTGCACATGTACCCTAAAACTTAAAGTATAATAAAAAAACAAAAAACAAAAAACAAAAAACAAAACAAACAAACAAACAAACAAACAAAAAAAGAAATAGAAGGCATCCAAATAGGAGAAGAAGAAGTCAGATTCTCTGTCTTCATTGATGATATGATTCTATACAAATGTTTATTTAAAAATAAATCTTTCAAGTTTGATTTATATCATCACCTATAAAAAAAAAAGAAAAAGAAAAATCATGGAGAAAAGCTAACCTAAAATTCTTTTCAAAATTAGACAAGTCCCTTTTTTTTTTTCTTTTTTTGAGACTGAGTCTCGCTCTGTCACCCAGGCTGGAGTGCAGTGGCGTGATCTCGGCTCACTGCAAGCTCTGCCTCCCAGGTTCACACCATTCTCCTGACTCAGCCTCTTGAGTAGCTGGGACTACAGGCGTCTGCCACCACGCCCGGCTAATTTTTTGTATTTTTAGTAGAGATGGGGTTTCACCGTGTTAGCCAGGATGGTCTTGATCTCCTGACCTCATGATCCACCCGCCTCGGCCTCCCAAAGTGCTGGGATTACAGGCATGAGCCACCATGCCCAACCGACAAGTCACTTTTATGGAGAATTCAATTTTTGTCTTCCATGAAAAACCTAAATAGTATGATTTTGTTGTCTAATTACTTGTAGAGCACACACCTATGTTTCTGGGGGTAAATTCATATTCACAATGGTCCTTTCATACAGCAAATTTTTTCAGTTTATAGACATTCTCATAAGAAATATACCTATTGTGTTGAAAAGTAGCACCTCCTCCATCCACATGACTAAATGTCACCCAGAAAATCTGAAATTAAAAAAGAAATCTCTTAGAGATCATCTTTAGTGTCCCATTTAATTCAAGAACCCACTCTCTAAAATATCTCTGAGAGTACTCAGCTATCTTTTATTTGAACCATTCCTGTGATTAAAAAAAAAAAAAAACTTTTGTCAGGCTTCCATTTTTGGGATCTGGAGTAACTACAAGCTCAGATCTTGTTTATGTTTAATTAATTAGTTAATTAATTATGGCTGTGCACTAGAATGCTGGTGTGGGTATCATGAACAAAAGGTTGTGATTAATCCAATTCTCTTCACTTCTTCACTAATCCAAAATAAAATGCAAGAATAAAAGAAACACTATTTTTAAGGCAGCCTTTTTTCATACCAGGATAGACCTAGTCATCAGAACATCTTTCTCATCTAAACTAGTGACACTAACTCTCTTGTTAGGCTAAACAGAGTAAGTCTGCAGTTCATACATCCTAAGCCACACTAGCCTGTCTCTAACCAGTTTTTCTTTGACTCTAGCTGCATCCCACAGGAAATCTAAAAGCCTCAAATTCCCCCTGGATTCCCCAGAGAGACATCAAACAGACTCCATGGATCAGTCCTCTTTGCCACTTTGTGGCACACGGCATTTTCTTCCTTTCATGCTTCAATTGACTATAATTACATCCGTTAATACTGCCCAAAAGCAGCAGCTCTGTTTAGGGTCCACACTAACAGTGACATCACTGCTTAGATGCAACAGAGCCAAGGTTACCTCAGCAATTGCCCACTGGTGTCAGTGCCAGGTTGTTCATATATGACGGCCAACACTGTGGTGTCTGCTCTGAGGGTCTTACACTCGCCTCTGTCAAAGCTCTCAGCACCTCTTCACCTCGTGTAGAAGCCTCTTACACCAAAGATGTTGACAGTATAACTCAAGTAGTTTTCTAGTCTTTCTCTAGTAGTTCATGCTTTTGGTTTCCATCCCTAAGGGACTGAGTATGAAGATTATAAACCTGTAGAGGTTGAGTCACAGAACAATCCATACAGAATCTCAGCTAATTCATTAAACTATGGGCCTTACAATTCGTCTTGTTAAGCCTCCCATCTAATTCTTTCCAGCCATATCCTGTTACCCTTAAGAAAATGTCAATAACTCAATTATCTTCTCGGGGGATGAATTTTTCCCCAAAGCACCCGAAATCCTCATGTGGGAGGCAGAGTTCCAGATAAAGACTTAGCTTCTATTTTGTTTTCCCTGCTTAGAAATAAATCATCAGAAATTTCTTGCAACTATGAGAAACCTGTAAGATGTTTCCCCAACAAGGGAAGAGTAAGTAAGGCTTTGTGTGGTTTCTAATCTCTGTAGTTTTTCTGATAAACAGCACAATTGTTAAAGAGGAGTGGGATGAGTTAGTGTCACTCAGCAGTGGCAAGGTGCTACCCAGGGAAGAAGATGGGAAGAAGGAGAAGGAGTGGTGCTCTTGATCTGAGAGGCAGCAGACAATCTGAGACCAGTTCTGGGATTCACCCAGGGCATGGGAAATGTGCAGGCATGAACAGTGGGAAGGACTGCAACTGCCACAAATAAGACGATTCTGTAGTGACCCCCTGCTGAGGACAGCCCAGAGGACCCTCCCTGTGCCTTGGTTTAGAAAAAGGGACTCAGCCTTCTGCTCTGCCACTCACACGAATTCCCTAGTCACCTCCTGCAGCACACCCCATCGTTATCTCTCCTGGAGAATATGCTTCTTCCCATCAACACCTAACAGGGAGGGAAGGAGTTGTACATCACAGCTGTAGCTCTACCTGTCAAAGGATGAGAAAGAAAGTCCAGGACTTTAGGGCCAAACTCAGGACATTTGTGTACCCCAAACCAAGGGCAGAGAGGAGTGAAAACCATGATTATACTCTTACAAATGAACACTGAACAGTATCCTCCACTTCCCCCTCCATAAAGTCCTCCAGGCATCCTGAAAAATGCTGAATCCTATGATGCACACAACTTACTCTCAGTCTGGTATCCCTACCTCATATTCAATCCTTCTTCCATATGACACGTTTTCAAATACTTGATAGCTATCATGCCCCCTTTGTCTTCTGTCCTCTAGGCTAAGTTTCCCTTGATCCTTCAATCAGAAAATAAGTATGCCTGAGTGAAGCCATTTGAACAAAATTCCCAGCAGCCTCATTGAAGCAGAGAACCCCATCTGCAATCATCACCGTAAACATTAAATAAGGAAATCCCTTTGATACCGTCTACAAGACAGCCATCAGCACAGTGGGCCCTGTTAAACAAAGTCACCAGCATTGGTATAATGAGAATTATGCAATGTAAAAAGCTATACCCAAATGAAAAAACTATGGTTTTATTTTGCAAGTAAACTGTTTTGCATTGTACCTTGGTATAGGGCTTATCATTCATGAGATTTGTAAGCTCTTTAAGGGCAGAGGTAGCATTTCATATCACTTCCCATTGAACATCCTGCCCAGACATGGGCACACAGTTTACACTTAGTAAGTACATCTTTAATAATATGCTTGTTGATTGAGTGTATGATTGGCCTTCCTTCCATCATCTTTTTTTTTTTGAGACAGGGTCTCACTCTGTCACCCAAGCTAGAGTACAGTGGCACTAACATGGCTCACTACAGCCTCAACTTTCTGGGCTCAAGCAATCGTCCTGCCTCAGCCTCCTGAGTAGCTAGGACTACAGGCATGTGCCACCACACCCAGTTAATTTTTTTTTTTTTGTAGAGATGGAGTCTTGCCGTGTTGTTCAGACTGGTCTCAAACTCCTGGCTCAAGCAAAACTACCAATTTGGCCTCCCAAAGTGCTGGGATTACAAGTAGGAGCCACCACATCTGTCATTCTATCATCTTTAAAGCCAGAATATAGAGGTATCTACCAAAGTCAGGACTGGGGTATACAGTTTATGGTAGGAAACAGGCATACTGAGTGGCAGAACTTCAAGATGAGGAGTTTTATGTGGAACAACTCAATTCCCATGCTTCTGCACAGCCCCTAATGAAGCTATACCCCTTATATAATTGACCCTGGAATTGCAGACCTGAAAATGTGAACTTTCATTCAAGAAAGTCTTAGAATTCCCATTTTCCAAAGGATCAATATGATCCACAGTGTAACATTTTTAGAGAAATCTGACATGGCCTCATTCAAGAGCAAATAGGAAGAAACAGTTCAAATAAGTTCAAATGTAGTCACCTATCATAAAATTGGTTTTACCAAGTGTATTTTTATTTACTAAAAAAAATTTATTTAATACCTTGTATGCCAATGTACTATCCTGAAACTCTGAATAAGATTATTCAACTGTTGTTATTATTACTAACAATAATTACTTAACTATTACTGCAATAATTCTGCATAAGAAAAAACTTCGAAATCTCAGTGACTTAAAACAGCAGATACTTCTTTTTCTTGCTCACAGGTCTGCAGATTGCCAAGACTTCAGCTGGAGTGCAATTGGGCCTGAGTCCAGGTTGTATTGGGTTCTGGTGTGCACCAAATGTTTTCATTCAAAGATCAGAAGCTACCTATAGCACAATCTTCACACAGACGACCACAAGACGGGCAAGTGGAAATACACCATGTCTCTCATGGCACATTATGGAAACACTCACCTCCACCTACTTCACATTGGCCAGAGGAAGGCATGTGGCCAAGCCCAACATCAGTACAACAAGGAAATATGATGTTCCTACTCCAGTGGGAGGAGCTGAAAAGTCACATGGCAGAAGACATGGATGTATAATTCTCACACAGGAGGAAGAGAAGTGTTTGGGAAAATAATATAATCTACTACAAATACATGACTGCTCACGAGGCTTAAGTGAGGGGGCAGAGAAAGTAAACAGATAATTATTAAGCTAGATGGAAATTCACTCAATAATTTTTAATGAAGTTAGATTTACTGAATATATTTTAAAATCATATTCACTGGGTGGGCGTGGTGGATCATGCCTGTAATCCCAGCACTTTGGGAGGCTGAGGCAGGTGATGAGTCCAGGAGTTCGAGACCAGCCTGGGCAACATGGCAAAACCTTGACTCTTCAAAAAATACAAAAATTAACAGGACGTGGTGGCACATGCCTGTAGTCCCAGCCACTTGGGAGGCTGAGGTAGGAGGATCACATGAGCCAAGGAGGTGGAGGTTGCAGTGTGATCACATCACTGCACTCTAGCCTGGGTGACAGAGTGAAACCCTGTCTCAAAATAAAATAAATTAATAAAAATAAAATCATGTTGGTTGCTATTGGGAGAATAAGGGGCAAGAATATAAGCAGGGATACCAGTTAGGAAACTCTTAACAATTGTCTGAGCTAGAGATAATAGTGACCTGGACTATTGTGATGACCAAGGCGATCAAGAGAGATAAAGAGAGTTAAAGTATATTTTAGCAGACTTCGTCACTATCAGATGTTATAAGTGGGAAAGAAGCACATGTGTAGGATGCCACTTGAGGTTCTGACTTACATAACAAAGATGATGATGCTGAAATGGGGAAACAGACCCATTGGGAAGAGTATCATTGACTTTGTGATTAATTCCCTCAATTCATTCCTTCGACATGACCAATTGAAGCCAGTTGTCCTCAACAGGGCATGCTCCCTCCCCCTTGGGAGTTATTGCGAAATGTTGGGCAGGAGAGTTTTCAGTTGCTGAGAGGTATTACTGGTATTTTTCACTCAGTATGATACACATTCAGAGATGGATGGGACAGTCTCACAAAAACAAAGATTGGAATCATCCTACCTGAAACATCAATACAACCCTGTTGAGAATTACAGTTTTTAGTGACTGAGAGGTCACTACTGGTCTTCCTTTCATCATCTTTTTTTTTCACTAAAAGTTATCAGTTTTTGGTGATCGAGAGGTATTACTGGTATTTTTCACTCACTATGATACACATCCTGAGATGTATGAAACAGTCACACAAAACAAAGATTGGAATCATCCTACCTGAGGCACTAGTCCATCCTGTTGAGAATTACTGGCCTGAGCCTTTTATGATAATCTCGTTCCACTCACTGATGTTTAGCTTAGGAATAGATTTGTGATTCCATCCTCACCACTAAGACTTGCGACAAAATATTTCAGAGAGCTTCCATGAGAGGTTTCCTCACTCATAAGACAGAGACACAGAAGGAAACAGCCCCTTTCTTCCTCTGAACACAGTTTGGATGTGACGTCCAGAAGGGCACACGCCCTTCAGCAGACACCTCATGAAAACGAGGGAGGCCAGTATGAGGGCAAAGCCAATGAGGATGAAAAAACAAAATAGTGGGAAAAAATAGGACTTTGGCAACATCACTGATCTGCTGAATCAAACAACCTCTGTTCTCCCCCATACCATCCCCAATGAGGATGTTATGTAATAAGTGTCCTTATAGTTGAAGCCAGCTCAGGTTGAACTTTTCATTACTTGAGTAAGAAAGCATCCTAAATAATACAGGAAGAAGACAGGTTTAGGAGACAAAACCTCTGAAGTCTCATTTTGTGAGAGAGCTGAATACGAGTCTAGACCTCTTGATTTATGGGTATGAAACATAGAAACTAGAAAGGACCAACCCTTGGTATCCAGACTGGGTACTGAGTGTACACACATATTGTAGAGAGTACAGCGAGTTAGACCTTCACAGTTTATGCTTCTAAATATGGCATCCATAAAATCACTGAGCATTTAGTGAATCACTCTCCTTTTTCTAAAGTGTAGGCAACATGATTACTCATCTCAAAGTCGTGAAGCATTTTTGTCTTCTGGTTGTTTTGTGAATACTTGGGTTCTTCTGTCTAGCCAAATTATAATCTTTTGGAAGACATAAGTGAAATTATTTCTTCCATATCCACCACAGCATCAAATGAAACTGTAAGTCACCCAGAAAGTACTCAACAACTATTCATTGAATGATAACATTTTTAACATTTATTTTAGGTTCAGGGGTATATGTGAGGGTTTGTTATATAGGTGAATTATGTGTCATGGGAGTATGGTGTACAGATTACTTCATTAGCACATAATAAGCATAATGCTCAACAGGTAGTTTTTTAATCCTCTTCTTTCTCCCACCCTTCACCCTCAAGTAGGCCTTGGCGTCTGTTGTCCTCTTCCTTGTGTCCATGTGTTCTCATTGTTTAGGTCCCACTTAAAAGTGAGAACACGCAGTATTTGGTTTTCTGTTCCTGCATTAGTCCACTTAGAATCATAGCCTCCAGCTCCATCCACATTACTGTGAAAAACATAATCTTGTTTTTTTTTATGGCTGCATTATACCATGGTGTATACGTAGAACATTTTCTTTATCCAGCCCACCGTTAATGGGCATTTAGGTTGATTCTGTATGTTTGCTATTGTGAACAGGACTGTGATGAACATACGTGTGCATGTGTTTTTATGGTAGGATGATTTATATTTCCTTGGGTATATACCCAATAGTGGGATCTCTGAGTCAAATTGTAATTGTTTTAAGTCATTTGAGAAATGGCCAAGCTGCTTTCCACAATGGCTGAACTAACTTACATTCCCACCAGCAGTGTATAAGTGTTCCCTTTTCTCTGCAACTTCACCAGCATCTGTTAATTTTGGACTTGTTATTAATAGCTATTCTGACTGGTGTGAGATGGTATCTCATGGTGGTTTTGATTTGCATTTCTCCAATGATTGGTGATGCTGAACATTTTTTCATATGCTTTTTGGCCACATGTGTCTTCTTTCAAAAACTGTTCACATCTTTTGCCCACTTTTTACTGGGGTCGTTTGCTTTTTGCTTGTTAAGTTGTTTAAGTTCCTTATAAGTGCTAGATATTAGACCTTTGTCAGATGCATAGTTTGCAAATATTTTCTCCCATTCTGTAGGTTTTCTGTTTACTCTGTTGATAGTTTATTTTGCTGTGCAGAAGCTCTTTAGTTTAATTAGTCCCATTTGTAGACTTTTTGTGTTGCAATTGCATTGGGTGTCATCATGAAATCTTTGCCAGGGCCTATGTCAAGAATGGTATTCCCTACCTTACATTTCAGGGTTTTTATAATTTTAGGTTTCATTTTTAAGTCTTTAATCCATCTTGAATTGATTTTTGTGTATGGTGTAGGAAAGGGGTCCAGTTTCAATCTTCTGCATATTGCTAACCATTTATCCTAGTATCATTTATGGAATAGGGAGTCATTTCCCCATTGCTTGTTATTGCTGATTTTGTTGAAGATCAGATAATTGTAGATGTGTGGCATTATTCCTTGGGTCTCTATTCTGTTCCATTGATGTATGTGTCTGTTTTTGTAGCCGTCCCATGCTATGTTGGTTACTGTAGTTATAATTTTGTAAAACTCTTATTTTATGGTTATAGTTATTAAAGAAGAATTTTATGGACTATGTCACATGTTTTCACCCAAAAGTTACAAGCTTGAGACCCACAGATATATTGTATGACTTACTGTTTCAAAATTTTTGAATTATGTACTTGTCAAAATTTTAAAATTGGAAAATTTTACATTAACATCTAGATTTATGCCTTCCTTTGAAGACTGGTAGTACTGGTCCCATTTTGCTTCCTACCAGCAACAAGCTGGACCTGAGAAGAGGTCAGTGCCCTACATCCCCAGCCTCCAATGGCCAGCCCATTTACATTTGAGTGGGTACCACTTCATCTCTCTGGGATCAGGGTTTACTTCTATACAATCAGTGGGTTGAACTAAGTGACCTGGTTCTAACACCATGTGATCCTAAAAGCCTGTCTTTCACAATTATACCACCGATTAGTGAATTTTCAGATTTTTCTTCCCATGTTTTCCACTCCTCTTCAGTATTTAGCCATTATACTGGCTGTCCCTACTTTTAGCCTAAAGGTACTGCCTGGTAAAAATAGATTAGTCAAAGTTGCCCTATGGTTTGATTAAAGATAAATCTACAGTTTACTTTTGGTTTTTAATTAAGTTTACAGTTAACCCTGCTTATCACAAGGGAGCATCTTCCATCAGTAAGAGGAAGACCTAACAAAACAGTTAAGAACCAAAGCAAGGCTGTCCTTCAGGTAAAATGACTCACCCAGCAAGAAGAAGAGCAGTGGCTCATCTCTTCTTTTATTATTATTTTTTATTTTTTATTTTAGGTTTGATCTCTTTAATAAAGAAGAAAAGGGAATAGCTTTAAATGTTTCACCTGTTTAGTGATCTATTTACAAATTTTACATTTTAAGATATTAAAGCATAATAATAGATAACTCTAAGTGGATATCATGAACTTTATGATGTCCTATTTTCTTTTTTGATAAAAGAGTAGTACCTATTTTCAACCCCACTGAGATGCTATGAGAACATTTTTTCAGCTTCTGTGCTATCCTGCTGTTCTATTCACTCTGCTGCAGTAACCAACAGACCTCCCTCATTTAAGCCATTTTTCAAACACACAAAGAAGCTAGATGTCAGCTTATTTTACCTTCATATCTAAAGTTTACCAAAATAGAAAATCATGATCAATACCTGTGTCAGGAAACAAATGTAAATTTTTGAACTGCATACATAGGGTTATCCTCTTCGAAACTCTAGAAACCATGAATCTAAATCCCTCTTCTGCAAAGCCCTATATTTAAAGGCTTTGTATTGACACCTAGTAGATGATATTAATGTATAAAAACAAGATTTGGTGTTTCTAACTGCACAGAAAATAAGAAGCCAACTCTCCCGAGAACAATGAGTTAGACAAATACCCATTATGTCATTCAACCAGGGCAAGAAATGCAGTAAAGGAGAAATGTAAATCAGTTGCTCAGACAGCCATAGTCACACCATGACTGTTATGCTTAGCCTATAATAGGGATGAAAAATGAGATCACCATTCCATTTGTCTTCAAAAATTTCTTCTTCTCCCTTGAACATATAATATTCTGATGACTTTACTACACAAAAAAAATGCATGCTTTTTTATCCTCACTCAGTAATGTGCTCAAAGAGGGTGAGCAATTAGAGACAGAGAGGCAGCAATAAGTAGTAATAAGGGGAGTGAGCTTTTATTCATTCAAGATGTTAAAGAAAAGATTGACTAGTTTTTAAGACTATGTTGACTTGGAAAATTTTTTTCAATGATGCAGGAATCTATTTAAAGTAGTGGAGTACATCTGAGAATTTTCTATTGTAACTGTACCAAGAAGTGATTGCACAAAACAAGTTCCACTTTTGTATATAAGAAGAGATATCTTTTACTGAGATATCTTGAGAAGACGCTTTATGTTCTGCATGTCTAAGCAGTGCAGGTATTAGGTGGCGTGATTCATGAGTATAACATTATCTTGAATAAGCCTTCACTGTTCTGTATTCCACTGATGCCTTCCCTAGAAGAGACAATAGAATGCCCAATAAAGCTTGAATCAATAGAGTAAAGCAAATTAGCACTGGCAAAATGCCTGCTTGTCATTGTTTCAGAAGTAGATTTAAAGCTTTAGGATATTTACTGTGTCTACATTTTGATAAACTCCATTCACAATCATATATTTTACTAGTTTGGGCCAGCTCCAATGTTATCTTTAAGCTTCAAGAATAGAATTTGAATTGCACTATTCGACATAAGAAATAAGTGTATAGGAACATCAGTATCTAGATCCTTTTGTGGTTCATAAGCATGATGATTGGGTTTCCACATTCTTGTGAGATGGGCCTCCCTCCAACCTTGTTATGATGTCAGCACATTACCCTTGACGTGTGAAAAGAAAAAAGAATGTAAGTATCTACTCTGAGTATAAATAAAGTATATATTGTTATACATCACTGGCATAATATAGGATATAAGAATAGAGTCTATAACTTTACTCAGGAACAAAATTTTATATATTATATATAAAAGGTATACAAATTATCCTATGAATTATTTGGTTTAAAAATTTCTAAATGTAAAAGTGAATGATTTAATAATATCAAATACAGATAAGAGATAATAATTTAAAAGTTCTTAGAGAGCAGGTTCAAAACTAAAGTTATATAATTATAAAAAGAAGCTAGAGAATGAGTTCATAGTCTTTAGTTCTTTGATTGGATTTAAAACATATAAGTCAAATACTTAGCTTTCAATCTTATTTTAAAGACAAAATATGGGGAAGTATTTAAACTTACAAAATTTCCTGTACTGGCTATGTAATATTTTTATCTCTTCACATTTTCAAGTATTCATTGAATATTTATTGAATCCTTATTATATGCTAGAACCTGATAGAAGTTTTAAAAATGCTAATTAAATAACAATTTCCATTATCTCTCTATATATATTTTTATATATTATACACACATATATATACACACACACACACACACACTATTCTTATATGCCTGTCTATTCATCAAAATATAAACCATATATTGATCTAATTAGCCAGCTGGGGAAGTAAGCATGATAATAGTGTCTGGCTTTGCACTTTCCCTACCTAGGAGAAAAAGCTTTGGAGCTGCAGTCTCCCAGGGGGAGACGCTGTCGCATATGCCTTTCTGGGAGGGATTAAGAAAGACAGAGCAGCTGGGACCCATTTTCAAATAAAAAACCAGCATGAAAGGCTTTACATGAATGACTAAAACTCTAAGTTCAGATAAGCTGGAAGAGCCTAAGAAGGGGATGCCTTAGTCTTGGTGTTAAACCAAAGAAAATTGATTAGATCACAAAATGGGTAGGTTTGACTTCTGATTCTGTAAGCCTAGGAAAATAAAAAACAAAAATCTGCATCATTATTTATCAGTCCTCTTGCATATCATAGTCAGAAGATGATAACGGTTAAAGGTTATTTAAGAAATGCCACAAGCTGAAATAATCAAGACTGTGGTTTGTATTAAAATTTTTTACTTTCCAAAATTTTAGGCAATTTTGGTAAATTCCATTCTTGACATTTAGAAGATCCATAGCTTTTTTTCCTAAGACAAGACAGTATTTGCCACTTTCTGCTCCTTTATCATCTCTTAATGGAAATGCCCTGTCATTACTTAAGCATAAAAGGGCATTTCTTGAGCATCTTTATACACAAGTAGAGTTTATTGTCAACTTAGAACAGGCTCTAATATTTATTCTTAGATATCAAAGTATGTTGGCCCATTGTTTAAATCTGAATTTCAGTCAGATGAGATTGTTAGAGTCCTAGGAGCTTAGAGTGGGGTCAAATTAAAATGAAAATTTTAAAAAATTCTATTCTACTTTCCATATCCCTTTAAAGAATATCAAATTATTGTAGTGACAATTATTAAGTTTCTACACATGTGCAAACATAGCACCTATAAAATAGCACTTTGGTGTTTATGAAGTATCAATTTCTAAGACAAATATAGAAACCCAGCAATTATCACAAGCACTCTTCACCATTTCATTGCAGAAGTGTATAGAATTAGTGAAAATAAAGGAAAACAGTATATTGCTTAATAATAGACAACCAGAAATGTTTACTTGTTAATGCTTTGCTGATTCTAGCCAAATGAAGAGTATTACTGAGCTGGGCTCCAGATTCACATGGCAGGAATACCACAGAGCCACAGGAATCATTTAACTGCCACAACTTCAGGTTCTGAATAAAAGTCATTTCTAAATCCTACATTTTTACTTTACTTAAAAAACTCATTATTCTCATGTTGTTCTTTGATGATGATAACATGGAATTTTCTCATATTCTCTAAATTTTTCTTCACCTACAAAACCAAAGAAGTTTTCTCATTTGTAGAAGGAAGTGGGAATTGTGGTGTTGGAGGTTCTAGAAAGCCCACTGTCTTATTCTTTTCCCTATGAATTCCAATGAGTTGAAAAATTGACAAAGGAAACCAGATGGGGATCAAAATAAACTATCAATGTATTTAGCACTCTCTGGTATTGGCTGTATTCAAGCAGTAGTAAAGCTCCCCAGTACTAGACCTTGGGGCCTATCTTGGGAAAATCTGAATCTGCAAAGATCTCTTACTCAACCAACTGTGTGGAGCATCATGGACTGTATAACAGCACCTGTGAAATGCCAGAGAGAGACTGTGCATGGTACCTCTACCTATTGTTAAATCATGAGCCGGTGAATAACTTCCTGACCCTATCTCACCATTAAATTATGTCATTCTCCCTCATGTAGAGGGAGTTCAGTGAAGGGTACAGAAAAAGTCAAAATGTTTTCCCCCAAATACTGCCCTCCTTTCAGAGTTTAGGACACAATCCCACTCAAGAAAAAAATCAAAGAAAAGTCAACTAACATTTCCCCGAGAAACAAATTTTGTCAAAATTTATTTTGTGTTTATATTACTCTTATGTTCTTTTCTTAAAAAAATTAAAATTCCATTGTTTTGTCACAGTACTTTCCAAATTAATAGGTTATACAAAATCACTTGGCCAGTTTCTCTCAATCCCAATGAAAGCCACTAATAGTTACGATGATAGAATTAGCCATCTATTCTATTGACTTGATGAAAAGTCAACATAGGATGTGCAAATTTTATCAAGTGTATCACCACACATGGGCATCTGAATATTTGTCTAACGAGAATTTTTGTTTGTTTAAGGAACTGAAATGATCCTGAGAAATACTGGCCCATGTAATAATACTAAGGAAGCTGTCTTATAAGGTTACTTTACGCATGTATTCACCCAACCCATACCAGGGAGTGTTAAAAGTACTAGGGCAACAGGCAAGGCCCTGTTCTCATAGACTTTCATTCAAGAAGACAGTTATAGTCAATGAGTAAAAGAAATACATAAGCAAGATCATTTTATATAGTGATAAATAGACACTAAAACTACTCCATGTGATAGTTACTTGAAATCACCAATTGAAGACTGCAGAAGGGAGGACTTTGGGTTAAGTGGTCAAGAAAATCCTTAAGAGAAACCACTGGAGCTGAGACCTTGGTAAGTGAATTCATATCATTTCAGGACACAAAATTAACCTACAAAAATCAGTACCATTCCTACACACCAGGAATGATCAACTTGAGAACCAAATCAAGATTATTTAACCAAGAAGGCGAAAGAGCTCTACAAGGAAACGTACAAAATACTGATGAAAGAAATTGTAGATGACACGAACAAATGAAAAACATCAGAGGCACATGCTTATGGATCAGAAGGATCAATATCATTAAAACGACCATAATACCCAAAGCAATCTATAGATTCAATGCAATCCTTATGAAAATACCAATATCATTTTTCACAGAATTAGAAAAAAAAATTCTTAAATTCATATGGAACCAAAAAAGAGCCCCAATAGCCAAAGCAATCCTACATAAAAAGAACAAAGCTGGAGATGTCACATTACTTGACCTCAAATTATACTATAAGGCTATAACAAGCTTGTTCAACCCATAGCCCACAGGCTGCATGCAGCCCAGGATAGCTTTGAATGCAGCCCAACGCAAATCTGTAAACTTTCTTAAAACATTATGAGTTTTTTTGTGTGATTTTTTGTTAGCTCATCAATTATCATTAGTGTATTTTGTGTGTGGCCCAAGACAATTCTTATTCTTCCAATGTGGTCCAGGGAAGACAAAAGATTGGACATCTCTGGATAGTAACCAAAACAGAATGGTACTAGAATAAAATAGACACATAGAATAAAGAACCCGGAAACAAAGTCACACATTTAAAGTCCACTGATATTTGAGAAAGTCAACAAAAACATACACTGGGGAAAGGATACCCTTTTCAATAAATGGTGCTGGGAAAATTGGATTGCCATATGCAGAAGAATGAAATGGGACCCCTGTCTCCCACCATATACAAAAATCAACTCAAAATGGGTTGAAGACTTAAAAGTAAGACCTAAAGCTATAAAAAATACTATGAAACCCTAGGAGAAACTCTTGTGGACACTGGTCTAGGCAAAGAATTCTAGATTCTAAAATCTCAAAAGCAAAAGCAACAAAAACAAAAATAGACAAATGGGACTTTATTAAACTAAAATGCTCTGCATAGCAAAAGAAATAACCAACAGTGAACAGACTACCTGCAGAATGGGAAAGTACACATCCAACAGGGGACTGATATCCAGAATTTACAAGGAATTCAACAACTCAACAACAACAAAAAACAAATAGCCCCATTAAAAAGTGAAGAAAGGACATGAATAGACATTTTTCAAAAGAAGATATACAAATGGCCAAGAAGCATATTTTTAAAATGCTCAATATTATTAATCATCAGAGAAATACAAATTAAAACTACAATGAGATATCATCTTACCCTAGCCAGAATGGCTATTATTTAAAAGTCAAAAAACAACAGATCTTGGTGAATGGGCACAGAAAAAAAGGATGCTTATGCACTTTTAGTGTGAATGTAAATTAGTACAGCCCCCATGAAAAACGGTATATAGCGTTCTCAAATAACCAAAATACCCAAAAATAGAACTATCATTTGATCCAGCAATCCCACTACTGGTATCTACTCAAAGGAAAAGAAAAAAATAATGCTATCATAAAGATACCTGCATTCATATGTTTGTCACAGCGCTATTCACAATAGCAAAGATATGTAATCAATCTAAGTGTCCATCAATGAATGATTGGATTTTTTAAATTATATATTTTATATATGTGGGTGTGTGTATATATATAATATATATAATGGATATATATATATTATATATAATGAAATACTATTCAGCCATTTAAAAATGAAATCATGTCTTTTGCAGCAAGATGAAAGGAACTATAGACCATTATTTTAAGTGAAACAACTCAGGAACAGAAAATGAAATACCACATGTAGTTACTTATAAGTGAGAGCTAAGTCGTGTGTATACATGGACAGAAAGTGTGGAATAAATAGACACTGCAGATTTGGAAGAGTAAAAGGGTGGGAGGGAGGTGAGACCTGAGAAATTACTTAATAGGTACAATTTATACTTTTTGAGTGATTGACCCTATCTCACCATTAAATTATGCTATTGATGTTACACTAAAAGCCCAGACTTTACCACTATGCAATATATCCATGGAACAAAATTGCATTTGTACCCCTTAGATTTATAGGAATAAAAAAAGAACAGAACAAAAGAATTTAAAAAAGAATAAGGAGCCAGCCAAGCCTGAAAGGGAAAGCATTAAGTCATAAGACTATGCAAAAGCCTTGAGATCAGAAACTACAGTTTCAATTTTCATGGAATCTAGCTTATCTTAGTCCAAGAAAATCACTCTATAGAATGTTACCATACAACTAAACAGCTTACTTCTTTGTAAATAACACATGGTAAACCAGTGGGAAATGGCATACAACTAACGATGGATCCTGCGGTATTGATCCATGATGAGGGATGAATAAACGAACATATACCTAGTGCCTACTAAATGCTTTGCACTGATAAAGGTTCTTTTATATTCTGCTCACTTTGAACAAATGCATCCATTATTTATTTAACAAATTTGTATTGAGCTCCTCTACATACTTGGTATGGTACTTGGCATTAAATTCAATTATGACTCCATTCAGTACTTCTTGCAGGGTGCGTATGCTCAATTAAGGGTGCACATGCTCAATTAAGACAAACATGCTATTGTGATATAGCTTGATCAGTGTCATCAAATG